>NC_000013.11:88374191-88677221 GCF_000001405.40 Homo sapiens
CATTCTTAAACCACAAACAATAGCATGAGCGATCTGTGCCTTAAGGGCATGTTCCTGCTGCAGTTAACTAGCCCAACCTATTCCTTTAATTCGGCCCATCCTTTCGTTTCCCATAAGGGATACTTTTAGTTAATTTAATATCTATAGAAACAATGCTAATGACTGCTTTGCTGTTAATAAATATGTGGGTAAATCTTGCAAGCTTCCTGAGGTCCTCACAGGAGCCGATGCCAGCACTATGCTCTGTGTACAGCTCAGCTCTGAAGGCTGTGAGACCCCTGATTTCCCACTTCACACTCTATATTTCTGTGTGTGTGTCTTTAATTCCTCTAGCGCTGCTGGGTTACGGTCTCCCCAACCGAGCTGGTCTCGGCATGTGGTGCCCAACGTCTCGGCAAGCAGATAAGATAAAAAAATAGAAATAACTGACAAATAATAATTCTATAAAAACCCAGTAAAATTAATAGCCCAAGCTGAGACTGAAGTAAGAAAAAAGGAAAATACAAATAAATATATGAGAATTAAAAAGAATACTATTATAAAGCATATATTGGCAAATCATTATAAATTATAAAAACTCAACAT
Source organism: Homo sapiens (assembly GCF_000001405.40). Classification (NCBI taxonomy): domain Eukaryota; kingdom Metazoa; phylum Chordata; class Mammalia; order Primates; family Hominidae; genus Homo; species Homo sapiens. The sequence continues at coordinate 88,374,777 of NC_000013.11, forward strand.
TTTGTTTAAAATATAAATTAAATAGTACCTTAAAATGAAACTTATAGCAAATGACATGATGGAATAGAATATGAAATCTATTAAATAAATTATATAATTTAAATATTTCTTTTGGATAAAATGTCTACATCTATATTGTTTTGCCAATGAATTCTAGAAAGCACTTTTTAAAAAACAAACAAAAATCATGCCTATGAAAAAATTATACCCTCTGAGGTCAAAATAAAACAAAGATTTCTATTCTACCTACTTTTTAAAAAACAGTTTTATTGAGATATAATTGATATACAAAACAACGTACACATTTAATGTATATAATTTGATGAGTTTGGACATATACATACATCCATGATATCATCATCACAACCAATGTAATAAACCTATTCATCATTCCCCAAATATTATTCTGTCCCTTTGTGTGTGTGTGTGTGTGTGTGGCAAGAAGATTTAACATAAGATCTATCTTAATAAATATTCAAGCGCCCAACACTGTTTTCTAAACTATATGCACTAAGTTGTAGAGCAGATCTTTTAAATTTATTCACCTTGTATAATGGTAAGTTTATACTCATTGAATAACTTTATATACCTCCCTGGCAACCACCATTCTATTTTCTGCTTCTATAAGCTTAACTTTTTATAATTCATATAAATGGAATCACACAGTGTTTGTCCTTCTGTGACTGACACTTCACTTAACAAAATGTTTTTAACGTCTATCCATAATACTGCACATGGTAGATTTTCTTCTTTAATGCTTAATAACACCCATTGTGTTTGTGTGTGTGAGAGAGAATGACATTTTCTTTATCCACTTGGCTGTTGGTGGACATTTAGGAGGTTTCCATATCTTGGCTCCTGTGAATAATGCCACAATGAACATGGGAGTGCAGTTATCTCTTCAAAGACAGCTCAAGAAATGAGAGAAAATATGTTCAGATCATATATCTGATAAGGGGTTACTTTTTCAAACATAAACTCCACAAGGCAATGGCAACAAACAAAAATTAGTGTTCAAAAATAAGCAAAAGACTAAAGAAGACATATAAATGGTCAACAGGTATAAGAAAAGGTTGGCAGGGCGCGGTGGCTCATGCCTGTAATCCCAGCATTTTGGGAGGCTGAGGTGGGCAGATTACGAGGTCAGGAGATCAAGACCATCCTGGCCAACATGGTGAAATCCTGTCTCTACTAAAAATACAAAAATTAGCTAGGTGTGGTGGCACTCACCTGTAGTCCCAGCTACTCGGGAGACTGAGGCATTGACTATTAGAAAATTTCAAATTCAAATCAAACGCAAATAGCATTGTATTACAACCAAAATGGCTAAAAAATGTCAATATTAACATATGCATAGAATGGTGAATAGCCAAAACCCTCACACACTGATAACTTTGCCTATTAAACTTTAATATATATGTAACCTGTTACCTAACAGGTTTATGTATACCAAGAGAATGTAAGAGAATGTTCACATCAGTGCTGTTTGTAATTTGTACATCACATGAATAAAAACTCATTCATGATAGTATGTAAATCTAAGTATAAGGACATAACAAAAGAACAATTACAAGCCACACCGGGCAGAAGACATTTTCAGGACAAAATTGATAAAGTTCAAATAGCTATCAGAAATAAAATGGATAAATAGCATTATATTCACACTATGGAATACTGTATTTCACTTAAAGATAATACAGCTACATACAATACTATGGAATATTTTCACACTTAATATTGGGCAAAGAAGTCAGATATAAAGAAAGCTATACTATATGTTTCGACTTAAAAGTGCAAAATTAGGCAGTTCTGAATTATAGTTTTAGGAGTTAGGTTAGAAGTTACTTTTGGGTAGTAGGGAATGGATAGTGATTGGAAGTGAAACTAATTTTGTCTTTCTAAAAATGTGCTTTTTCTTTCCTGAGTGGTGGTAAACATAGGGTCTTTACATCATACTCCATTGAAATCAATATTTATATAGCATTCATTTTTGAATATATGTCATACTTCACAACTTAATAATTTAAAAATAAATGTGTCAATGTAAAGCTATACAAATAAAAGTTAAGTGAAACAAAGGCAGTTGTTACCTAATAAACCTGGGATACATAGATCACCAAATATTATTTAGCAACACATTCTACATGAATTGCTTAATTCCTCTGTACCACCTGACTTGTCTAGAGTAATTTTGGCAATGCCAATTGCCCAAGGAACACGGCAGGCAATGATTCATTCAAGCCTTAATTAAGTAGAGTTTGTTTACTTCACAAATCTAGGCTATAGTGGCTGTTAATACCTGAAATTCAGGTAAAAAATGTATCTTCTTGTTAAGTATGTAATTTTTTTTCTATAATTACTTTACTTGAAGCAGGGGCTAACACTTTATTTATTTTATCACACCTCAAAGACAGTTTAAGTTTCGGTTTCTGTGTTTCATGTCACAAAATTACTGCTTTCATTTGAAAAATATACCTTCATAGAAATGCTGTTTCCCAGCCTCTTCTTTTCTAAAGTTTAGTTATAAATATGGCATTCTCTGCTCTAAATTCTTATCCTTTCAGATTTCTTACTTCCTTACAATCACTGTTACTCTCACTCAGGTGTCTTTATATGTTTATCAGTTATTATTTTTCTATCTTTACTATCCTTCTGTCTTGAAAGTTTATCTCTTCTACAACTCTTTGCCTTTCTCTGTCATTCATTCTGTAAATTACCTTTTCGTATCACCTGCTCACTGACGTCTTAAATGTACCAGAATCTGATCACTGCCTACACAGAAATAATCGATGCACTAAAAACAAGGGACAATTTTTAGTTATTAAAATGCTTTACATTTCTAAAATTTTGGCTCCCTGAGTGTTTTCTGCCTTTCTGAACCACTGCCTTCTTTCAGCTTGTTGATAGAAAATTCTCACTGTGTTTCCTCCTGTTTTTCTGACTACTCTTTCCTGGAGCTTTTGTACATATTATTCCTTTTTTTTCCCCTCGGGTGTCAGTGTTTCCTATGAATCTCTCTTTTTCCTTCTGTGATTTACCAAGTCTCTATAAGAATTAAAAAAAAAAAAAACCGTCATGAATCCAAGTTTACTCTATGCTAAGGTCACCCATGTTAGTTTAGAGTCCTCTGAAAAAATGATTTGGATGCTAATATTTCATCTGTGAGGAGATATCAGGAAATTGTGGTAGAAAAGCATGAAAGTGAGATACGAAAGTCAAGAAAAGAAAAAAAGGTAGATTATTAGACAAGCAACCACTGAGAATATCTGGAGATAAATTCTGCTTGCTAATCATTAGAGTCAGAGTAGACTATATGATTTTGTGTGCTCAACCATAACTATAAGACGGTGAGGGTATTTATCCATTGCCACATAGAGAATTGTTTCCAAAGTTGCTATTTCCCCTGTATCTTTGGCCTATTTATAGATAGAGAAAATTACAGTGTCTGAAAAGAAAAGAAAGAAAAGAAAAAAACTTTCAGGCAAAGACACATAAGATTTGGTAGCTGGAAGTCAGGCAAGCGTAGATGAAAATAGAAAGAGGAGAGGGAGTATGGATGAGTACAACTCAGAATCCGCTACAGTCCATCATACACTGCCTGGATCTAGTCAAATACACCACATAAAATTCATACTGAACTGTCAACAATTTTCTAAAGTAGTAAGTAGTCACAACTCAAAAAATAATAATAATAAAAGTAAAAGAATAATTATTAGGGCAAACCACAGTCCCTATTGATTGATGCAGCTAATCCTAAATCTGAAACACACATTAATGCTCTCCTTTCTGGGTATCTACAACCCATTCTAACATTCCTTACTCTCAGTAGCACTTATGGTGGTCTAGCTCACTTGCTGAGTGGATAACTTAAGTGTGCATGTTTATCCCCAAATTCATAAATCTCTATATTTCAAACATGTATACCTTTTTATGTGTCAACAATACCTCAATAAAATTGTTTCAGAAAAGGAAACATCAATTACATCAAGAAATACCCAATATTTTGCCTGTTTGCCTCACTTACACTACACTGCAGTGTCTGCATCTAATTAAGTTCATATATTATTGTCTTCTGATTAAAATGTTCCTGCCCATTAGTCTTAATTTTTTTTTTTTTTTGAGATGGAGTCTCACTCTGTTGCTCAGGCTGGAGTGCAGTGGCACAATTTCGGCTTACTGCAACCTCTGCCTCCTGGGTTCAAGTGATTCTCCTGCCTCAGCCTCCCGAGTAGCTGGGATTACAGGTATGCACCACCACGTTCAGCTAATTTTTTGAATTTTTAGTAGAGATGGGGTTTCACCATGTTTACCAGGCTGGTCTTGAATACCGGACCTCAGGTGATCCACCCACCTCAGCCTCCCAAGGTACTGGGATTACAGGGGTGAGCCACTGTGCCCAATCTAGTCTTAAATCTTATATACAACAAAATAAATCTTATTAGTCAGAAGAATTAAAAGAAATTAGTGTGAATGCTGTAATCACTATCATCAGCAGGGGCAGAAAGGGCCAAGAGTATCTCAACCCCTTTCTCAATATATTGTTTCTGGATAAATGTATTATGATTTTGCTATGAAACACACCAAATATTAAATATTTGTTCATATAAAATAGCACATATGAAATGCAATTATGTTGTTTTTCTCTAAGTTGACCCTTTAGCCAAATGTTCAGTGGACCAATCTGCTATTCTATAAGATCTATCTCTTCTGTATACATTAAATATAGAATTAGACTGAGGAACTCCACAGAGATAGGCCTATTAGCTTGTGTATATGTATCACTCTAGGGAGAGAGAGAGAAACATATACATGATATACATATACATATCTTTATATATATACATATATATGTATCTTTTTTAGTGAGTTGAAATTTTTTAAAGAGCAGTGTGTTGAAAAATATAACATAAGATTTTCAGAGAATTCTCAGACTATGTTAAAAATAGACACATGAGAAAGTAAGAATGGAAGCCCTTATTCATAAAAAGTGTATTTCTTTTTTAAAAAAACTTTTAGGGGTTAAAAAACCCCTTTAGGGGAAAGTAGAGGGGTCCATGTGCAGGTTTGTTGTATAGGTACACTTGTGTCATGGGAGATTGTTGTACAGATTACTTCACCACTCAGGTATTAAGACTAATATCTATTAGTTATTTTTTTCTGATGCTCTCTCTCCTCCCACCCTCTATCCACCCTTAGGTAGGCCCCAGTGTGTTTTGTTCCTGTCTATGTGTCCATGGGTTCTCATCATTTAGCTCCCATTTATAAGTGAGAACAGGTGGTATTTGGTGGTTTTTTGTCCTACATTAGTTTGCTAAAAATAATGGCCTCCAGATCTATCCATGTTCCTGCAAAGGACATGATCTCATTCTTTTTATGGCTGCATAATATTCCATGGTGCATATGCACCACATTTTTACTAAATTTTTTTTAAACACTCTACCAATAATGGGGATTTAGGTTTATTCCATGTCTTTGCTATTGTGAATAGTGCTATAATGAACATATACCTGCATGGGTCTTTATAATAGAATGATTTATATTCTTTGAGGGTATATATCCAGTAATTGTAACTCTGTTTATATGTATTTGAGGAATCACCACAGTGCTTTCCACAATGCTTGAAAAAATTTACACTCCTAACAATGTATAAGTGTTGCTTTTTTCCCACAACCTTACCAGGATGTATCACTTTTTGCTTTTTAATAATAGCTATTCTGACTAGTGTGAGGTGATATCTCATTGTGGTTTTGATTTGCCTTTCTCTAATGGTCAGTGATGTTTAGCTTTTTTCATGTGCTTGGTGGCTGCCTGTATGTCTTCTCTTGAGAAGTGTCTTTTCATTTCCTTTGCCCACATAAAAGCTATGAAAAATCACTATTCTATTGACAGTAGAAGAAAACAAATATAAATTACATTGTATATGAGATGATAATATTAAAAACAAGGATAATGCATAAACAGGGTACTTGTAATTCTAAGGCATATGTTCCATCACGTAGTTTCCCCTCAGTCCAAGCTTATTTTTGAGCTTGAATTTTTAATGACCATTTAAGACACATGTGTCACAAATGGCTCTGAATGACATGCGGGAACATGCCACTATAGTAGCCTACTTCTGTATCCTGATGGGATATTTTTTTCCCTTGTGCTACTTATGGGACTGATATCTTAGGTACATAACTAAGAACAGGATTGATGCTATTTGCAGGTTCAATCAAGATTACATCATAAATATGGTGAAACAGAAGATCTCTTATCTAATGATGATTGGGTCTACGTACCTATGACTAGAATATATTGCAGTTCTCGAAATTTGACTTGTCACTAAGGCAAGAAAATTAAGGGCAGTCTGATACACTTGTCAGATAAAAGAAACTGCTATTGAGGATCACAGTTTAGTAAAAAATATAAAAATAAATTTCCCAAATTTGTGGCTGCTGAGTGCCAGAGAATGCACTTCATTGCCAATCAGAGGTTTGCTTGCATTCTCTAAGACTTATTATACATGCCACAGCCAATAGAGAAGTGAATGGCAGGCATGACATAAACAGACATGCCTACATGTCTACATGGTGAACATCTGCATTTATTCCAGGGATGTGATTTTTAAACGTATTTAGGTGTTAGTGGGAGAAAGGAACTGCAATAGTTTTATATGAACCTTTAACTCAATAACAATAGACTTTACTTAAAACCTTTAACTCAAAAACAGTATTTACTTAAAAAATAAGGAAACCAGTGGTTTAAAATTTAAAAAACTATATTTTTTAAATTTGGGAAAATTGGTATAGACTATATCGGAAACCACACTTCACTTGATAGGAAATGAACTTGAGTCAGACTATAATTGGAGATTGCTTCATTAATGACTATTTTAATTACAATCACTGTAATAATTAGTTTAATGATTAAGTCTATAAATGGGATTCCCTTTTCAAAGATATTTCTAAATTTATAAGATTTATGATTTCTGAAAAGACAAGCCCTTTGAATTCCACCAGTGCCATTAAGACTTTCTCATAATTTAAATAAACCTTAGTAACAGTAGTTGTTTCTTGTTTCAATTAATAGTCTAATTTTAAGTGGTTAAATGATAAAAAGTTACTGCATAAATTTGTGGATTGTAAATACATATAACTGCTCAGTACGTATTGACATTATTAATACTCTTTCAGATAGGTTTAATAATTTATTAAACAACAATTTGAGTGGCTTGGCAGGAACTCTTTTGAATTCTATTTAGAATTCTGCACATAAATTTTAGCCTCTTATATTGGGCATCTTCAGACTATGATGGCTAGTTACCAAAATAGATCTACCATATGTAGATCTATTTTATCTGCATTAGCCTAAGTCTAAAAGATAAATCATAGTTCTCCATGACCAAGCCAAATAGCATGAGTAACAATCCTCCCCCAGCTCCATTGACCCTAATGAGAAAAGACTTGCTGATGTGTCAACATAATTTATCTTGGTACAACTGAGAAGCCATGATATCTGGTAACTAACCTCAACTATTAATAAGTTGTTTGTTTTATTTGTACTAAGTGTTCCAGAATACAAATAATTATATCCCATTTTTTGGCTTCCAAAATTTAGCAAGATATAGTTGAATTGAATTGTCTTTTACAGTCTATCACCATTATGCAATTAACTGAAATGATTTAACCTCGATTAAGAAAACTACTGTTCTTATACCCAATGATAGTAATTATTGTATTTAAAACAACAGGGGTTTTCAATACAGCCTTCTATCTAGTTAATCTTTTACCTAATTTTACATAATCAATATAAATTCTCATGAATTGAACATAAAAAAAGGCTAGTATAAAAAATATCTTAACCAACTTTTAACCAATTTACCATATTTACTAAAATAGTCCGTTTTGTCCTAAAAATGTCCATATAAATATAATTTAAAATTAATTTACCGATTTTTAATATGGATGCTCACTTCTGCTCCCTGTTTTGATTGATTTGGCTAACACAATTAACTAGCATTTGTCTCCAATCCTTTTAAATGCCGGTTTCCTATGTTATTGTAAATATATTATTAAATTATTGTAGAAACTAGTGGAAAGAGGGCATTAAAAAATAATAACTTTTACTGAAAAGTAAGTTAAATCATTTGGTAAGATCAAGTTGTAGAACAGTCACTATTAAACCTGCCAATGAATTACGAGTTTTATGTGGGAAATAAAATTTAATCAGGTGAAGAAAAGACTAAATTGAGATGCATTCCACGTTGTTTACTATATATACTGCATTTAGGTTTCCACTATATTTTGAGGAGTTCAGAAGTAAAAATTTTACTAATTTGTGTAAGAAAATATAATGCAGCATTCCAATAAAAATTATATATGAAGTATATTAAAGTATATATAATGTATATATTTTTATATATGTACCATGTTATTACATTATTTAATTTACTATTTCACCAGTTACAGAAACTGAACTAATTGCATTAAATTTAAAAATAGTATGTTTTATTTCGCTTTACCATATATTCTACCAGAAAAACCTATTTCTTTCATTTTTATTTTCTTAAGGTATAAATTTGTTGATATGTAATTCAAATGCCATGTAATTCACCTTTAAAGTGTGAAATTCAAGGGTTTTTAGTATTTCAGAACTCTACATATATTGTCACAAACAATTTTAGAAGATTTCCATCACTTCATACCTATTAGCAGTAATTTCCCATTGCCCACTCCTTCCAGTCCCTAAAAATCACTAACCAATTTTTTGTCTCTATAGATTTGACTTTGTTTACTATCTATAATGTTCTTCACTGGATCCCTCAGAATTTCCTATATAAAAGATCATGTGTTCTGCAATTAGAGATAGTTTTACTTCTTTCCTTCCAATCTTGATGACTTTTATTTAATCTTATTTCCTGATTTGTCTTGCTAGAACCTCCAGAAAAGAGGTGACACAAGCAAACATTCTTACATTTTTCATATACTTAGGAGAAAAACATTCCATTTTTCATCACTAAGATTCATGTGAGTGGTGGTTTTTCTTCAGATGCTCTTTATAAAGTTGAGAATGTCTCCCTTTATTCTAAATTTGTTAAATATTTTTATCATGATAGGGTGTTTCCTTTTTGTCAGATGTTATTTTTGCATCTATTCAGATGAGGATGTGTTTATTTTCCTTTATTTTAATATTATGGTATAGCATATGTATTGTTTTAAAGATGTTAAACCAATCTTCCATTCCTGGGATAAATCCAACTTGGTCATGGTATATAACCTTTTTATATGGTTTCTCAGTTAAGATTGCTAGTATTTTCTCAAAAATATTACATTTATAAGAAATATTGGTCTATAGTTTTCTCCTTGAGTTTTCTTTTCTTCTTTATTTTTGTGGTCTAATTTTGGTATAATTGTAACACGGGCTTCATAGAATGAGCAGTAACATACTCTTTTGTGGATGAGCCCATAAACAATTGACATTAATTATACTTTAAATATGTTCAGAACTCACCATTAAACAATCTGGGGCTAAGCTTTCCTTGTGGGTATTTTTTTATTTACTATTTCATTTTGTGTTATAGGTCTATTCAGATTGTCTATTTCTTCTTGAGCCAGTTTCTATAGTTTGTATTCTTTTAGGAATTTGTCCATTACATGTAAGTTAACTATTTTTTGTTTATAGTTGTACATAGTGTTCACTTAATCCATTTTATTTCTATTAAGTTGTTAGTAAATTCTTCTTTATCATTGATTTTAGTACTTGGAATTTTCTTTTTTCTACTTGATCAGTCTAGCTAAAAATTTGTCAGATTTTGTTCAACTTTTCAATGAGCCAACTTGTAGCTTTGTTGATTTTCACTATTTTACTAATTTCTGTTGCAAAGACAAAATTGGTCAAGTAAAGAAGATGTTTTTATTCAGGCTAATGCAGTAGAGTCAGCACCACACATCCAAACATCAGTATCTCAGCAGGATGGTTTTGTTATATGCCTTCACAGGGAGAAATAAAGAACTGATTACTGGATAATTTACATTTGGTATTGTTATTATGATGGTGGGAAGTCACAATCAGCTAAACAGGAAATCTTTATCTCTGTTTTTAGCTAGTTTCACAGGGACAAAGTTTAATTATTTGTGAGGCATAAAACAGGGAGTTTGTGGTTCCATGTCTGGCATCCTAAGTAGCTTCAGGTAAAGGAAAAATATCTATGTGTGATAATGTCACAGTTAAATCAATGAGTCATTTTCGAGTCTGACTGGAATCATGAGAAGGAATGAGGAGCAAATCTTACCTAAATAATATGGGACAGGTTAGTTCTTTGTTGTTAACCACTTCCCAGACCACTAGAGGATGAAGAAAATTTTTAATTATTACTATTTTCCATGACTACCGGGCTCAGGTAAAGTACAACATCATGACCATCCTAATCTTTATCATTTATTTCTGTCTGCTTGCTTTGGGTCGAGTTTGCTCTTATCTTCCAATGCCTTAAGATGGAAGGTTATGCTATTGATTTGAATTATTCATTCTTTTTTTAATGTAGGCATTTAAAGTTACAAATTTTCCTATAAGTACTGCTTTAGCTGCATGCTACAGTTTTGGTTTGTCATCTCAAGGTAAAAATATTGGCATTCCTTTTATGGTGATTATTCATTACTAAAAATTTCAGTAACAGTCATAAACCTCCTTGAGTAGAGTGAATTTGGGTCTATGAAATAGTCTCTGGACAGACTGTTGTTTGTGCAGTCTTTGCAAAGTTAATTGAACTATTTTGCGGCATGGCAATAAACATCAGTTAATTTAGAGTACTGAAGATTGTACCTCTTAAAAGAGAAATGCTTGGAATAAAAACAAAATAATTATTAATTTAAAAGTTTTGTTTAAAGAGCCAGGAGTTTAATCCTGAGTCTATTTAGTCTAGCAGGTTCCAAGAGGTTAGTAAAAATATTTTGTTTACATACCATTACTCATTGAGATTTTTGAAAAAAGAGTTCAGTGTTCTTGGGGATGTTACCTGTAGTTTTGATTATCATTTTTATAAAAGCACGCATGACCAAAGCATTTTACATAGTGGCTGAAACATTGGCTCAGTCATGGAGAAATCCAGACCATGCTTCATCTACTGCAATCATGAGTCTTTCAAGAACTATGTAAAATTATTGGGCTTTTGCTGAGAATACTTTTTCAGGTGCTGGGGTGGAAAACCAGCTATGAGTCACCTTACAGTCCCAATAAGTGTCTGAACATTGAAGTTTTAATCTTGGAACTAAATTGGAAGCATTCATTTAGAGGGCTGTAGCTAACATTGAAGGAAACTGCAAGAATTTAAAATTTGCATAGAAAATTTCTAGTTATCTCATGTTAATACGTTGAGCAGACACTTATAGAACCTATACCAATAACTTTATTGTCATGATCATAAGAATGTTCAATAACAATTTCCAAATTCTGTGAGCTTTAGCAGGTAAAAAAATAATAAATGCTTCATTTCTGTTTATAAGAAGCTTAGTCTACTAAATTGTTATGAGTTATAGATAGCTTAAGAGAAAATAAATGGTTCTGTATATCGAGAAAATATATTAAAATAGTAGCAATATTCCAAAAAAACCCCATAATCATCATTCATCAGGTGCATTCAGTCCTATGGATTTAATCCTTGTTTTGCTTGATATCGGTGTAGCAACCTCACAAACACATCTGCTTCTCCAAGAGAGTTCTGAAAATTCTGAGTCAGTCTACTGGTATAGTCTCAAAATTACTTACAAAATGCCATCAGAAGTTTATGTCTAAGAATGCCTGGGTAGCATAGTTATTTTCTAAATTTCTGATACACTTTTTGTGAAAGTCAAAGCATTTTACTCTCATTGACTTTCAAGAGCTTTCAGGGAAGCATCAGAGCAAAATAACTATATTTAGATGATAAAAGGCTCAAAATCACTGTTGTTTAACTTATTAATGATAAATTTCAAAAGTAAAATATCTAATAAGAGTTCATTATAGGAACAATGTAACTGACAAGAAAATTTTGTTGTTTCTGTGGCATACAAAACAAACTAAAGATATTAAACATACAAAGAAGAGCTGGTACCAATCTTACTGAAACCTATCGCTGAAAAATTAGGAGAAGGGATTCTTCCTTAACTCATTCTGTGAAACAGGTATCACCCTGATATCAAAATTAGGCAAGGACACAACTAAAAAAGAAAACTACAACCAATATCTCTGTTGAACATAGATGCTAAAATCCTCAACAAAATACTAGCAAACCAGCGAACCCAGAATATCTGAGACAGGTCCCTGTTAATTTAGAAAGTTTATTTTGCCAAGGTTGAGGATGCACACCCCTGACACAAACTTAGCGGGTCCTGATGACATGTGCCCAAGGTAATCAGGGCACAGCTTGGTTTTATACATTTTAGGGAGACATGAGACATCAATCAATATATGTAAGATGTACAAGGTCACAGGATGACCTGGAATGGTTGCATTCTTTTTAGTTTCCCATTAGCTCTTTTTGGTTTCTGGTTAGCCTTTCTAAAGGAGGCAATCAGATATGCATTTATGTCAGTGAGCAGAGGGATGACTTTGAGTGGAATAGGAGGCAGGTTTGCCTTAAGCAGTTCTCAGCTTGACTCTTCTATTGAGCTTGTTGATTTGGGGGCCCCAAGATTCATTTTGCTTTCACAAGCCAAATCCAACTGTACATCAAAAAGATAATATATCACTATCAGGTGAGTTTTAACCCAGGGAGCAAGTATGGCTCAAGGCACACAGATCAATACATAACAATAAATGCGATTCACCATACAAACAGAATTGAAAACAAAAAAACATGGTTACCTCCATAGATGCAGCAAAAACTTTCAATAAAATTCAACATTGCTTCATGATAAAAACCCTTAACAAAATAGGCATGATAAAAATCCTTAACAAATTAGGCATATACCTCAAAATAATACTAACCATATTAAAACAGGCGCACAGCCAACATCATACTCGATGGGGAAAAGCTGAAAGCATTTCTCCTAAAGGATGCTCACTCTTACCACTCCTATTCTACATAGTCCTTAAATTCCTTGTTCAGTCAGGCAAGAACAAGAAATAAAAGGCATTCAAATTGGAAAACAGGAAGTCAAATTATCTATGTTTGCTGATGACATGATCTTATACATAAAATATCCTAAAGACTCCAAAACAGTATTAGACTTAATAAGTGACTTTAATAAAGTTTCAGGATACAAAATCAATATACAAAAATCAGTAGCATTTCTACATACCAATAACGTTCAAGCTAAGAACCAAATCAAAAACACAGTCTCATTTTCAATAGCCATACACCTGCACATCCACATACACACACGTACACACACCTAGCAATACATTGAACCAAGGAGGTGAGAGATCTCTACAAGGAAAACTACAAGACACTGTTGAAAGAAATCATAGATGACACAAACAAAGGGGGGGAAAACATAATTAAGATTTGAAGGGTACATTTCATCAAAATGACCATTCTGCCCAAAGCAATCTACAGATCAGCACAATTCATATTAATTTACCAACGTTACTTTTTATAGAATTAGAAAAATCAACCCTAAAATTTATATGGAAACAAAAAAGCACTTGAATTGCCAAAGCAATCCTAAGCAAAAACAGCAAAGCTAGAGGCATCACATTACCTGACCTCAATTTATACTACAAGACTGTAGTAACCAAGACAGCATGACATTGGCATAAAAATCGACACCTATATTAATTGAACAGAATAGAGATTCTAGAAATAAAGCCACATACCTACAACCAACCAATCTTCAACAGAGTTTACAAAAATATACAGTGAGGAAAGGAAAAGACACTCTATTCAATAAATGGTGCTGGGAAAACTGGATAGCCATATGCAGAAGAATGAAGCTGGACCATATTTCTCATAATATATAAAAAGTAACTAAAAATAGATTAAAGATTTAAATGTAAGACCTGAACACTATAAAAATCGTAGAAGAAAACCTAGGAAAAACTCTTCTTGACATTAACATAGGCAAATAATGTATAACTAACACCTCAAATGCAAATGCAACAAAACAAAATATACAAATGGAACGTAATTAAACTAAAGATATTCTACTCACCAAAATACATATTCAGTAGAGAAAACAGACAATATACAGAATGGGAGAAAATATTGGCAAACTGTACATCTAACAAAGGATTAATATCCAGAATCTAAAAGGAACTCAATTAACTCAACAGGAAAAAAAACAATGCCCCATTAAAAATGGGCGGAGTACATGAATGGACATTTCTCAAAATACAGATAAGTGGCTAACAATATTAAAAAATGCTCAACATTTCTAACCATCAAAGAAATGCAAATTAAAACCACAAGCAGGTACAATCTCACACCAGTCAAAATGTTTATTATCAAAATCAAAAAAAGATACTGGTGAGCATGCAGTGAGAAGGGAATACTTACATGCTGTTTATGGAAATATAAATGAGTACAGTCTCCATGAAAAACAGTATGATTTCTCAAACAACTTAAAATAGAACTACCATTCAATCCAGTAATCCCACTACTTGCTATCTACCCAAAAGAAAAAAAATCATTACATCAAAAGACACCTGGACTTGTATGATTATAGCAGAACTATTTATAATAGCAAAGTCATGGAATCAAACTAAGTTTCCATCAATGAATTATTGGAAATAAAATATGGTACATATCCACCATGGAATATTACACAGCCATAAAAAAAATGATGTCTACTGCAGCAAAATGCATGAGGCTGTAGGCTATTATCCTAAGTAAAGTAACTAAAAAATAGAATATCAAATACTGTATGTTCTCACTGGTAAGTGGGAGCTAAACAATGAGGACACATGGACTACAGAAGGAAATAACAGACACTGAAGACTTCAAGAGAGGGGATGATGGTGGGAGTGTGGTGAGAGTTGAAAAATTACTTACTAAATACAATATTCATTACTCAGGTAATGAGGACTCTAGAAGCCCAAGCCTCACCATTATGCAATATATCCATCTAACAGAGCAACCTCTGTAGCCCGAGTCTATGAAATTTAAAATAATAATATTAAAAGAAAAATAAAAAAATCACTTGGGAAATAATGACAAAATAACTATAAACATAATAGATATTTCTATTTTTAAAGAGTAGATATAATATTTAATTTATGAAAATGAGTGAACATGGTATTTACAGAAAAAAAAAAAGCACTCAGATGTATAACAATCTTGAGAGGGGAGGCAAAGAATGGTAACTAAAAAGAAGCCCCTAGAAATTATCCCCCGTGTAGGGATGTCAAATTGAACAACTAGCTACACAAAAAAATGCATCTTTATAAGAATCAAAAATCAGGTGACAGACAATAGAACCTAGTTTTAACATCATATCATGGAAGGAGAAACTAAAGTGGGTAGGAGAGACAGACTTGAATTCCCTACTACCCCTCCCCTATCACCTGGCAGCAGCCACATGGACCAGAGAGAGAATCTTGTGCTTGTGGGAGGGATAATGTAGGGACTGTGAAACTTTGCATTGAATCAGCACTACCCTGTCACAGTGGAAAGCAACATGGGGTAGAACTCAGCCTACACCCATGGAAGGGGTATTCAGACCAGTCCTAGACAGAGGCAATTATCCATTCCATCAGTCAGAACTTGAGTTCCAACTGGGCCCACCACCATGGACTAAAGGGTTATAGGGTTCTAAATAAACTTCAAAAGCAATCTAGACCACAAAGACAGCAATTCCTGGGCAATTCTTGGTACTGAGCTGGGCTGGGAGCCACTGGACTGAGGGTCCACATGACCTAGTGGGACACCAGCCTGGGCAGCTTAGGGAGTGTTTGTGTCATCTGTCCCCGAACTCCTGGCATTGAGGGTCCCAGCTGGAGGAGAGATTCCTTCCCTCTAGAGGAGAGAGTAAAGGGGACTTTGACTTGCAACTTGGATACCAATTTAGCCAAGTACAAAAGCTCTTTGGGGCCACCAGACAGGGTCCAGAGGCCTCCATTTCAGACCCTAGATCCAGGAAAACATTTGTAAACACACCCTGGGCCAGAAGAGAACCTATTTCCTTGAAGGGAAGGACTCAGTCCTGGCAGAATTTATTTCCTTCTAACTAAACAACCTTTGGGCCCTGTGTAATCAGTAGCAGTACCCAGGCAGTGCTAGATGAAACTCAGAGCCATGCTGGTTTCAGGTGTGATCCAGATCATTCCCAGCTGTGGTGGATATAGGGAGAGAATGCTTCTGCTTGAGGAAAGCAGAGGGTAGGGTAAAGAGGATTATGTCTTGCAGCTTGGGTAACAGCTCGGCCACACTGGAGTCAAGCACTAAGCTGGCTTTTACGATCTCTGATTCCACACCTTGGCTCCTGGACAGCATTTCTAGACCTGTCCTGAAACAGAAGGGAGCCCACTAACCTGAAGGAAGAGGCTCAGGACTGGCAGTATTCACCACAAGTTGACTGAAGAGCCTTTGGGCCTTGAGTGAACATCAATGGTAATCAGGCAGCACTTGCCAGCCTGGGATGGTGGTGACCATGTTCAGAGGCTCTTTTGCTTTAGCAAAAGGAGGAAGGGATGGGGAAGGACTTTGTCATGTAGCCTAGATGCAAGCTCAGCCATAGTAGAATAAAGCACCAGGTAGATTCCTAATGTTCCTTATTTAGGCTCTGGCTCCTGGACAGCATCTTTAGCCTGTCCAGGGCTGAGGGGGAACTTACCACCCTAAAGAGAAGAACACGTGCCCAGCTGGGTGTGCTACCTGCTGATTTCAGAGCCCAAGGCTTGCGTGAACAAAGGTAGGGGCCAGACAGCGATCACTGCAGGCCCTATGTCAGATGCAGCACTGTGCTAGCTTCAGGTCCAACCTCACACAGTCCCATTGGTGGTGGCCACAAGGGTTCTTGTGTTACCCCTCCTCTAGTTCCCAGAAGCTCAGCACAGAGAGAGAAACTTCATTTGTTTGGGGGAAAGTAAGGGAAGATAATCAGAATCTCTGCCTGGTAACCCATGGAATTGTCCCAGATCTTACCCAAGATCACAAAGGCAGGGCCTCTATGAGTGTAAAAGAGCCACGGAGTTACTGGGCTAGGTTTCCACTGAGGAGTCTGGCAGCAGGCTTAAAGGCCAGGAAAGACTAGCATACATAATGTGTTTAAATTGCTAAAGAAAAAAAAAAATGTGTCCTGTAATAGTATATCCAGAAAAAATATCATTCCAGTGTGAAGGAATAATAAAGACTTTTCTGGACAAACAAACAGATATGGCTGCAGTGACTAAAGACAGATCACAACACCCAAATCCCTTCAAATACTTGGAAAACATTCTCAAGTAGAACAGGTACAAACAAGCCCTGACTGCAAGACTTCAATAAACACCTAACTCTTCAATGCCCAGACACTGACAAACTTCTGCAAGCATCAAGGCTATCCAGAAAAACACAACCCCACCAAAAAAAATTAGGCACCAGGTACCAATCCCAGAGAGACAGAGATACGTGAGCTTTTCAGACAGACAACTCAAAATAGCTGCATTGAAGAAGCTCAACAAAATTTAACATAATATGGAAAAGGACTTTAGAGTCATATTAGATAAATTCCACAAATAGATTGAAATAATTCAAAAGAATCAAGCCAAAATTCTGAAGCTGACAATGCCATTAACACACTGACGAATCATCAGAATCACTGAACAGCAGAATTAATAAAGCAGAAGAATTAGTGTGCATGAAGACAGTCAGTTTGAAAATATAATCAGAAGAGACAAACATAAAAAAGAATGAAGCACAGCTACAAGTTCTAGAAAATAGCCTCAAAATGCAAATCTAAGAGCTATTGTCCTTAAAAAGGAGACAAAGAAAGATATTTGGGTAGAAAATTTATTCAAAGGGGTAACAGAATTTCCTAAACCTAGAGAAAGCTATCAGTATTCAAGTACAAGAAGTTTGTAGAATATCAAGGCAGATTTAACCCAGAGAATACTACCTCAGTCATTCCAATGTGTCATTCCAATCAGACTTTGAAAGGTCAAGAATAAAAAAAGGATGCTAAAGCAACAAAATAAAAGATACAAATAACACACAAAGGACCTCCAATATGTCTGGCAGCAGACTTCTCAGTGGAAACCTTATAGGCCGGGAGAGAGTAGCATAATATGTTTAAATTGCTGAAGGAAAAACACACAAAATGCATGTGTCCTGTAATAGTATATCCAGAAAAAATATTACAATGTGAAGGAATAATAAAGAATTTTCTGGACAAACAAAAGCTGATGGATTTTATCAATACCAGACATAACCTACAAGAAATGCTAAAGGGAATTTTTCAGTCTCAAAGAAAAGGATATTAATGAGCAATAACAAATCACCTGAATATGCAAAACTCATTGGTAATAATAAGTACACCGAAAAACATAGACTACTATAACACTGTTGTAGTGTGGAACCGATCATCTTGAGTAGAAAGATAAAGATGAACCTATCAAAAATAATAACTACAACAACCCACAGAATGGGAGAAAATATTTGCAAACTATTCTTCTGAAAAGGAATAATAACTAGAATATAAGGAACTCAAACAACACTATAGGAAAAAAAATCCAAGAAAAGGAATAATAACTAGAATATAAGGAACTCAAACAACACTATAGGAAAAAAATCCAATAACCTGATTCAAAAATGGGCAAGATATGTGAATAGACATTTCTCAAAAGAAGACATACAAATGGCAAACAGGTATATGAAAATGTGCTCAATATAATTGATTATCAGAGAAATTCAAATCAAAACTAGAATGAGATATCATCTTACCCCAGTTAAAGTGGCTTCTATGTTTAAAAATGCAATAATAAATGTAGGTGAGAATGTGGAGAAAAGGGAATGCTCATACACTGTTAGTGGGAAGGTAAATTAGTACAACTACTATGGAGAACAGTTTGAGGTTCCTTAGAAAACTAAAAATAGAACTACCGTATGATCCAGCACTCCTTGGTATATACCCCAAAGAAAGGAAATCAGTATGTTGAAGAGATATCTGCACTCCCATTTGTTGTTGTTGTTGTTTGTTTGTTTGTTTGAGGCAGAGTCTTGCTCTGCTGCCCAGACTGGAGTGCAGCAGTGTGATCTTGGCTCACTGCAACTCCTGCCTCTCAGGTTCAAGCAGTTCTCATGCCTCAGCCTCCCAAGTAACTGGAAACACAGGCGTGCACCACAACACCTGACTAATTTTTTTTTTTTATGTTTTATTTTTAGTAGAGATGGAGTTTTGCCCTGTTGGCCAGGCTGGTCTCAAACTCCTGGCCTTAAGTGATTGTCCCACCTTGGCCTTCCAAAGTGCAGGGATTACAGGCATGAGCCAAGCACTCCCATGTTTATTGCAGTGCTATTTACAATAGCTAATATTTGGAAGCAACTTAAATGTCCATCAAGAGACACATGAATAAATAATGTGGTACATATACACAATGGACTACTATTTAGCCATAAAAAAGAATGAGATCTTGTCATTTGTAACAACATAGATGGTACTGGAGGTCATTATGTTAACTAAAATAATCCAGGCACATGAAGACAAATTTCATATGTTCTCACTTATTCGTGGGAGCCAAAACATTTTTTTAAAAATTGAACTCATAGAGATAGGGAGTAGAATGTTTGTTACCAGTGGCTGAAAAGGGTAGTATGGGGAGAGGGGGCATGTTAAATGGGTACAAAAATACAGTTGAATAGAATATACAAGATCTAATATTTGATGACACAACAGGGTGACTACAGTCAACAATAATTTATTGTATACTTTAAAATAACTAAAAGTATATTTGGATTGTTTGTAACACAAAGAAAGGATAAATGCTTGAGGTGATACATACCCCATTTACCCGGATGTGATTCTTACACATTGTATTCCTGTATCAAAATTTCTCATATGCCTTATAAATATATACACCTATTATGTACTCACAATTTTTTTTAAAAAATATGTCTTTGCAAAACAAAAAATAATCCATCAATATAAATATCATGAATATACCATGCATACAATTAAACACACCAAAATATATTAAGATTATCAAGCAAAAGATTCAGTAAGTCTGAATTTTTAAACATCTGTATATTAATCAAACCTAAGTAGTGTGAGGGATTCTCATATCCCCACATTAATACCCAATCAAAAACCTTTAAAATATACTGAATCTAATTTAAAACAGAACATCATGACCAAATTAATATATTAAAAAACAATTAACAATATGGTACAACACTGTTGTTCTCTAACAAAAGCAGCACCAGGACTCTGATAAATAGAAACATATCATAGACAGCAAGTGCAGAGACAAATCTCTAAAATTTTATATGATTTCTGCAATATTTATATTAATAATATTTTACCCATATAAATTTAACACAGGAAGGGGTTAGCACCTGTTCTCATTTGACAACAATTCTCCTGCAAATCATATCAAGTAAACCTAATTATTTATAGCTTTTTATATGGTAAAAAAAAAACAAATCCTGTGAAATATTTCCAGGAACCCCTGGGAAATATTAAAGATGGCTTTATGTGCAAGGGATATCATTTAGGGTTTGATTTGGAAAAGGCAAAATATCAGAAGTTGTCAGGAGGTTTCAACATTTGATTAAATAGAATCATGAGTTAATGAGAAACAATACTTGACTACCTATTTAAACAAGTGCCAGATTTTAAAAGAAAATATAGGAGTTAATATGATCTTAAAGAATCTTAGCTGTTTTAAAAGTGAGATTGTTAACTTAAATAATCAATGACATGAAAAAAGTCAACATAAAGCACGGGACTTCTTTCTGATAAGACACAGAATCTCTGCTTCTTAAGCAGATTATTCAGAGGTATAGAAAATAATGTCCTACTGAGGGCAGCCCAATAATCCATGGATATTTGAGATTTTAACAAAAAAAATTGAATTTTACTTTTTCATCAACTCAACTTTCAAACAAAAGAGCAAAAGATATTTTTATTGACAAAAAAATTATACATTAACTTTGGCTAGCTTTAAGCATGGCAAATAAAATCAAACTTCTATGAATTCTCTATGACTTTCTAAATTGATTCAGGTTTCATTCTAAATATTCTGCTTTCTCATTCTGAAACAACCAGTCATTTTACTTTCAGACAAAACTACTGTTTTTCTGTAATGAAAGCAATGCTGCTTAACTTACACAAAGAACTTTTTTTTCTCTGCCACTATTGCTCCTAGAAGTGTCTCATTCACAGATACTATGATTTCTACTCATAGTAACCTCAGCTTCAGAGAGAGAACTCAAATGTGGATAATTTCAACTGTTTATCATACAGCAGAATTTTGCACCTACTAGCAAAGTTTATGAACATACATATCAAAACTTTTTATAGATATATACTTTGTCAGACTACAACTTCTCAGTGTGAAAAAGGATCCCATTTATTAACAGATGCAAATATATATGTGCCTTCTCAGTACCTCATAAAAGGAAGCAGCAGAAACCACATAAACTTAAAATTATGCTTAGCAATTAATGCTTCACTATTCTCTCTTACTTAGAAATTATGTACATACTCAGTGAGTATTCATTTACTAATGTAATTTAGTTTAAGATGTTAATTTATATAAAGAACTTGGAAAATATCTTCAATCTGACATACTACCAAATATAGTGACTGTTGAAATAAAGTTTGTCAATTTAGTTAAACATAAATTCACATTTTTCATATCACACATTTAACAGATGTAATATAGCTCCTTAGGACAGCAAACCTGTATGAAGTTAAGAAGAACCTATACAAACAGAATAACATATGCTTGTATTATAGTTAACACTGACAACTAAGGGGATGTAGCTGTTTTTATTAAACCAACACTTTAAACCAATATTTGTTTTCCAAAAATATTTCTAAATTATGAGAATGTGAATTCTTAAGACATTTGGGTTTCAAATTGACTGCTGAACTTCTCTAGTGAACTTTTAATTTCATTTGTAATTTTTAAATCCAAAATTTCCATTTTGCTTTTATTATTGAGTTTCTGTATTTGAGAAGATATGTCATCAACTAGGAATAAATTCAGTCCCTGAACAGACCAATAACAAGTTCTAAAATTGAATCAGTTTTAAAAAGCCTACCAACCAGAAAAAGCCCAGGACCAGATGGATTCACAGCCAAATTATATCAGATGTATGAAGATGGTACCACTCCTACTGAAGCTATTCCAGAAACTGAGAAAGAAGGACTCCTCCCTCGCTTATTCTATGAGATCAGCATTATCCTGATACCAAAACCTGGCAGAGAGACAACAAGAAAAGAAAACAAATCCAGTAGCACATCAAAAAGCTAATCCAACACGATCGAGTAGGTTTTATCTCTGGGATGCAAGGTTGGATTAACATGGAGAAATCAATAAATATGATTTACCACATAAACAGAACCACAAAGCACATAATCATCTCAATAAACAATGATTTTTTATAAAATTCAACACCTTCATGATTAAACACTCTCAGCAAATTAGGCATTAAAGGAACGTACTTCAAAAAATAAGAGCCATCTATTAAAAACCCACAGCCAACATCACCGTTAATGGGCAAAAAAACTGGAAGCATTCCCCCAGAAGACCAGAACAAGACAAGTATGCCTTCTCTCACCACTCTTATTCAACACAGTACTGGAAGTCCTAGCTAGAGCAATCAGGCAAGAGACAGAAAAAAAATAAATAAATAGGAAGAGAGGAAGTCAAACTATCCTTGTTTGCAGACAATATGATTCTACACGTAGAAAACCCGATAGTCTCTACCCAAAAGCTCCTTGATCTGATAAACAACTTCAGCAAAGCCTCAGGATACAAAATCAATGTACAAAAATGAATAGCATTCTTATATGTCAACATCCAAACTGAGAGCAGAATCAAAAATTCAATTCCATTCACAAATAGCCACAAAAGAAAAAATTACCTAGGAATACAGCTAACCAAGGAGGTGAAAGACCTAGACAATGAAAATTACAAAACACTGCTTGAAGAAATCAGAAACAAATGTTTGTGTCAACAAACAAATGGAAAAACATTTCATGCTCATGGATAGGAAGAATCAATATTGTTAAAATGGCCACACTGTCCAAAGCAATTTTCAAATTCAATACTATTCCTATCAAACTACCAATTACATTTTTCACGGAATTAAAAAAATTAAACTATTACAAAATTCATATGGAGCCAAAAAAGAACCCGAATAGGTAAGGCAATTCTAAACAAAAAGAACAAAGCTGGAAGCATCACATTACCTGACTTCAAACTATACTACAAGGCTACAGTAACCAAAATAGCATGATAGCATGATATGTTATCATGTTACAAAAACAGATACATAAACCAATAGAACAGAATAGAGAGCCCAGAAATGATGCTGCACTCTGATCTTCAATAGAGTTGACAAAAACAAGCAATGAGGAAAGGACTCCTTATTCAGTAAACGGTGCTGGCATAACTTTATAGCCATATGCAGAATAAATTGCTACACCATCTGATATAACTAAACTCTAACTCCTTTGCAGATACAGTTTTTTAGGAAAGTTTTTGAGTTTATTTTCTGAACCAGGATAACTCATCTTTTTGTAGTCATACCCGGCTTTACGAGCAGGGTGCTGGAAGGGAATTAAAGCTTCTGATTTTCTCAGATTGTGACTCCTGGCATGAAACCTGTACCCCAAGGCAAGCTGGGTAGTGATGTCCTGAGCCTGGCATACCTAGAGTTGAGCATCTACTTTATTAGTGTTAGCTGGGTAGAGGAAGGAAGCCTCCAATCTTTAAACAGCAATTGCTAAGAACTTACTCCCTGCAATTTGGAGCTGGTGCAATGATAAACGCTGACAGCTGCATTCCTGGTGAAATACCATATCCCTTGATTGGGACCTGAGAGGAAGCCCTCTTTATTTGGCTGTACTTACTCAGTTTGGATAGTCATTGTGCTGACGTGGGAAGGAGGAGGAAGAAAGGAAGGAGTGGGTCCTGGTTCAGTTTCCAGAGTCTCACTGTTCTTGCAGAAATTTAATTTATTTTCTTGAATAATTGTTTCTTCATGTGTCGTAAAACTTTAGGACAATTTCAGAGATTTATATGGTGGATTTTTCACAATGTTCCCCATTTTTTTTTTCCTTCTGGAGAGAAGATCTGTAGAGTAGGTTTATAATGTTCCATGCATCGTTATTCTAAAATTGGAAGTCTAAAAGAAAGTTTCTTATGTTTTCCTCAGTGATAATTAAGGTGGGGTATTTTTTCTTTTAGGAATTATTTTAATTTATTTGCAAATAGAAGTTCCTTTTCAGGCCATGCGAGTACACATCACTCACTTGTATCCAAATATACAGATCTGAATTGGGCCACTCGTGTCAACATGTCTCCCTCATGCAATATGTCTTATGATATTACCCTATTGCTCTTCACTTTCCAGTCTGGCAAATTTGTATTATTTCAACTTAGCTAAACTAGCACTGTTTCTTATAATTCCTTTCCTAGCACAGTTCTCAGTTATCCTAAACCACGTGAGACATTTCTAAGAGATTTGAAAGGTAAAAGTAAATCAATGACCATGTTATTTTTATACCCAGATGACTAAGAAAAGTGCAGCAAACACTGTTGTAGTTAACTCATGTGTTATTTTATCTGCTGAATCACTTTGTTGATGAGAGGCACCAGCAGAGTTTTCAGCTCCTCCAACTTGCTAGAGCCTTCTTTAGCCTCTGTGACTGCTGAATCAGGTGCATGCGTAGCTCTGTGAGGAAAGGTACAAGTTTCTTTTCAGGACACCACCATCATTGAGGTTGGAAGCTTGAGGATGGTGAGATACTAATATGGGTTCCATTCTGTCAATTACAAGATAGATTGATCTTGTAAGTTCTAGTTTTCCCTTCCATTCTCTACTTCACATTCATCTTCTCTTCCTGACGGCCACTGAGTTCAGGATCTAGCACCATAAATGCAAAGACAACAGTCTTACATACTTTATATAGACTGTACCCTACTGATACACACTCAGAAGCTTAAAGGGCAAAATCGTAGATGGATTGGACACATTTTATTACAAGAAAACTATGTATATCATTAATGTTAGATTTTCCTTCTTCACCTTCTCACTATATAGGGATTGGTAGTTAACATATAGTGATCACATTACTCCTAACATTTTGACTAGATTAGTTACCATTTGCAAATTAAAGTGAAGAACTTAATGTAATTCTGTGCTGTTGGATACAGTCCACTTACAGAAAACTATTATTTTTCTGTAATAGGTTCTTGCATGTGGTTTTATGTTTATCGTGGTAAACAGAGATAAACTACTTTCACAACCGAAGTATATGCATCTTGGAACAAGGAACTTATCTCTGTGACAGAGTTGCAATGCTTCAGGGTAATGTGTATGAACTCATAGTTTGTTCCTTTCTATTTTTTTGATTTTGCGGCAACGGTATCAGGTCAAAGAATATTCTGAGCATTCTAAGAATTTGATGACAATAGTTGTCTACATTTTTATTCTTATATGGTTACCATTTAAAGACATAAAATTTTGTGTCTCTGCCTGTCTCTGTCTCATGGGCACAGACTTTAAAGATAAACCATGTTAGGTTCTTGATGGAGCTCCCAAAGACTTACCCATTGGCTGATCAATGTTTCTCGTTCATCATTTTCTTATGTGCTAAAAATATGCCTTTTGAAACCTTTGATTAGGAAATAGCCACAATTTTTTAAAGATATTAGCACTTTTAATATGAGGCTAAATTAGTTTATTTTAGAGCATAACTTGGAATGCTTAATAAAGGAGAAAATGTGCAGTCACTTTTTTTTTTTTTTGAGATGGAGTCTCACTCTGTGGCCCAGACTGGAGTGCAATGACACAATCTCGGCTCACTGCAGCCTCTGCCTCCTGGGTTCAAGCGATTCTCCTGCCTCAGCCTCCTGAGTAGCTGGGATTACAGGTGCCCACCACCACACCCAGCTAATTTTTGTATTTTTAGTAGAGATGGGGTTTCCCCATGTTGGTCAGGCTGGTCTTGAACTTCTGACCTCAACACTTCCACCCGCCTCAGCCTCCCAAAGTGCTGGGATTACAGGTGTGAGCCACCGGTGCCCAGCCTGAATCTTCTTTTTATACTTAAGAAACTTTTCACATTAATTAATTCAAACACTATTGTGCTATTTTCTAATTAATTTGTCAAAAAAACATATTTTGATATACTGAAAAGTCATAGTTGGCTTCTGTTGATGACCTATGTTTCTAACTACGGTAAATTTCTATCCAGAAGGTGACCTTTGATCAAGATTTCTACACACCTTTTTATTCTTCCTTTTCATTGACCAACTCCTCTGTTTTCTGTTTAAGGCTTATACTACATGTAAGCAAGATCTTGTTGTATATGTAACACCGCACAAACCCATCAACTGGCTGGTGACATATATAAAATTATAAGACAACTATATGGGTTCCTAATATCCACTTGTAAAAGCATCATCTCTAATTAAAAGAACTAGAGCTATTGCATTTGCATCTTTAAAATTTTATTTATTTGATTATTTTTTCTTTTTCTATTTTCACTTGAGTTTCAGGGGATAGACATGCAGGTTTGTTACATGAGTAAAGTATGTGTCGCTGGGGTTTGGTGTACAAATGATTTTATTACCCAGGTAGTGAGCATTGTATCCAATAGGTAGATTTTCAGCCTTCAGCCTCCTCCCACCCTCCACCCTCAAGTAGGCCCCAGAGTCTAATATTCCCTTCTTTGTGTCTATGTGAACTCAATGTTTAGCTCCCACTTATAAGTGAGAACATGCAGTATTGCGTTTTCTCTTTCTTCATTAATTCACTTAAGACAATGGCCTTCAGCTCTATCAATGTTGCTATAAAGAACATGATTTTGTTCTTTTACATGGCTGCATATTATTCTCTTTTTATTATTATACTTTAAGTTTTAGGGTACATGTGCACAACGTGCAGGTTTGTTACATATGTATACATGTGCCATGTTGGTGTGCTGCACCCATTAACTCGTCATTTACATTAGGTGTATCTCCTAATGCTATCCCTCCCCACTCCCCCCACCCCACAACAGGCCCCAGTGTGTGATGTTTCCCTTCCTGTGTCCAAGTGTTCTCATTGTTCAATTCCCACCTATGAGTGAGAACATGCAGCTGCATAGTATTCTATGTTGTGTATGTCCCATATTTTCTTTATCCAGTCCACCATTGACGGATATCTATGTTGATTCTATGTCTTTGCTATTGTGAATAGTGCTGCAATGAACATGCGCATGTATGTATCTTTGTAATAGAATGATTTGTATTCCTTTTTGTATATACCCAGTTACATCACCAAAGGTATATTGGGATTTGGGGTCGAATGGTAGTTCTGTTTTACCCTGAGCATTTTTTCATGTGCTTGTTGGCCATGTGTGTGTCTTCTTTTAAGAAGCATCTGTTCATGTCCTTTGACCATTTTTAATGTGGATGTTTGTGTTTTTTTTTTTGTCGAATTGTTTAAATTCATTATACATTCTAGATATCAGACCTTTGTTGGAAGCATAGTTCACCAAGGCCTATGTCCAGAATGGTCTGTCCTATGTTTTCTTCTAGGGATTTTATAGTTTTAAGTCTTATATTTAAGTCTTTGAGTAAATTTTTGTGTACAGTAAAATAAAGGGATCCAGTTTCAATATTCTGCATATGGCTATACAGTTATCCCAGCACCATTTATTGAATAGGAAGTCCTTTCCCCATTGCTCATTATTGTCAACTTTTCCAATGACCAGATGGCTTTGTAAATGCGTGGCTTTATTTCTGGTCCTCTAACATATTAATTGGTCTTTGAGTCTGTTTTTGTACCAGTACTATGCAGTTTTGGTTATTGTAGCCTTGTAGTGTAGTTTGAAGTCAGGTAGTGTGATGCCTTTAGCTTTGTTCTTTTTGAAATTTTGCTTAGAAATTTTAGGATCATATAAGTATTCCTAGATGTTTCCTTTTTCTGTTTGCATATATCAGTTATTAAAGATTTTATTAAACAGTATATGATGTATGAAAGTCGTATTGTTAACAAATGTATATGAAATCATATTAAAATAAGAGCTCTAGGATGTTCTTGTTAGGCCAGCAGACAAAGTCATCTGCCAAGATAATGAATCATCAGCTACTCTGATGTTTAAGAACTGTGCCTCTGGAAGTTAACACCACCCCTACTACACAAATCATGCAATGAGAAAAGTGAACTAGACATTTCAAGTTGTAGGATTTTTATTTAGCATATTACTGAAATGTAATGGACTAAAGAACTAAAGAAAAAGATGGGCAAAGAAATTGAGTTGTGAAAATAAATGTAGTATATAAACATATGCAGTTGTCTTTCATAGAATGATGTAAATGGAACATTGAATTACTGTCAGCAAATTAGTGTCTGAGAAAACATTTGGAGAGTCACAAATCTGGGGAAGAATGGAGACCATTATTCAGATAATTAGTGAAAAGCAAATTGCTTCTCTTAAAAACAAGAATTTATAAACAATCTGTCCACATTGATTAAAGTCACTGAATAAATGTTCATCTGTCATTTCACGTTCCCTGTATATATAGAACCTAAGAATAGGTCATGTCATTGTGATGAAAATAACTGAATTTGACATATGACAGGAAATGAGGTCACCCTACAGTAAATTGTCTCTTCCAGAGCAATTATCTATTCATGGCATAAATCCTATACAATTCTAGTTTTCCTTTACATACCTCTTTGTTTCTTCTATGTCTTGTTAACAAGTGTTTTATTTGCTCGTATCAAAATCCCCTTCTGTTCAATCTCAGTAGATGCTTTCATTGAAAACTGATGGATATTCTCCAGTGAATGCTGAAGAATGCCAGATAAACACTATTTTCGTAGACAGAATCAATTTTCAAACAATAAACTTTCAGGAAAAGTAGAGTTTATTGCAGTAAGTGTATGCATACTTGATAATTACTTTAAAATTTTACTTTAAAATTTCTTTTCATTAGCCACATGAAGAAACCTCTGGAGAGGGGAATGAGTTTCACATTTTCATTTCACTTCAGATTTAGGCTGGCCTCATCCTCTAGCCCAATGATAAACACACACCTTCACAAGTAGGGCAAGCGAATACATCCAGTATTATTCTAGTAGGGACACTATGCTTCATTATAGGCCAAATTTTAATTTTTTATGTAATTATTTTTAATTGCAATAATTATTCATTTATCAAAAGTATATCTTCTTATGCTCTAATCTATCTGAAATGTAACTATTACCTTATTTTGATAATGGGCACCATAAAAATATGTAATACTAATATTTCAGATGGACTAATACACAATGCAGGACCTCTGGAGAGGGGATGTTTTATGGACCACCTAACATCAGCTTGGGGGAAAATCATAATTTTAATGATTTATCAGGGTTACGTAAACTGTACAACTGTTGTTGGAATGCAAAGGATACAAGGATAATAATAATACAAGGATTGACACAAGGATAATATGAAAGGCAAACAAAATAATATCAGAGTATTTCAACTAATACATAATTGTAAGTATGTAAGCTGTCCCCTCTGCTGGCCTTCTAAAAATAATTTTATCTCAAAGCACAGAAAATTAGTAATAAGTTGTAGCCACTAAAAATATTGTTATATCCTATTTAAACTCCTAGCATTTAAAAAATATTCACAAATACGTAAACATTTAAGTGTTGTTTTCAGATATTGTCAATATTCCACCGATGATTACTCTGATGCCTTTCTCATTTTCATGCACATGGACTTCTGGTGTGCTTTCACTTCCAACAGCCGGAACTTGCATCTCCTTACCAGACCCTTGCCCTAGCCTTCCATATCGCATTACGCCCCTCATCTGTGTACTAAGAACCTTCGGTGACAGGGAATTCATGTCTCCCAATAGGTATCCCGTAGACAATAATAGATAGGCGATGAGGTATAAATCTTCTGGCTTTCTTGTTCCTGATTACCACAACTTATGTAAGATCTATATTATCTCCAAAACTCCAAAGCTTCATTTAATCAAAGTTACCACCTGTGGAAACTTGCTTGATATTGTGCCTTTGCCTGAGCTCCTTAGATTCTTACTTTCTCACTTTCTCACTCTCACAGCACCCCACCTACCTCCTGGAATATTTCCTATGCACTTCTGCTTAAATTCTTGTTTCAGCGTTTGCTTCTAGGAAATCCAAACTGAGACATCTGGTTTCCAATGTGGTTCTAGGTAGCAGAGTCTCAGGATAGAATTCTCGAGTTGAGTCTTCTTTGGCCAGATAACAAAAGGGGCCACGGCGTCCATAAAAGTAGAGTATTAATTATTCATGCTATATGGTAGCATTATTGTAGCTAAGAAAGCCTGTAGGTAATTGGGATGTGATTCACATTGAAGGAAACCTAATAGTTTCTAAAAAATATCTACCACTAAACAGATATGGGGAAAAATAGTAATTTAAGACATAATGAAGCTGGGCACAGTGGCTTATGCCTGTAATCTCAGCACTTTGAGAGACTGAGGCAAGAGGATCGGGCTGGTTCAAGACCAGCCTGAGCAACATGGTGAGAACTTGTCTCTGTTAAAATAAAATAAAATAAAATAAAATAAAATAAAATAAAATAAAATAAAAATTAGCCAGGTGTGGTGGTACACACCCATTATCTCAGCTACTTGGGAGGCTGAGGGGGAAGAATCCCTTAAGCCTGGGAGGTCAAGGCTGCAGTGAGCTGTGATCATGCCACTGCACTTGCAACAGAGCAAGATCCTGTCTCAAAGCAATTTTTTTAAAATTGCAAATTTATTTTTTCCCTTGAGGTCTAAAAAATAAAAGATTTTGCATTTGTTGGTTTTGCTAAGTTCCACCGGTGCCCTGGAGGAAAACAGAGCTATCGAGCCAACTGTTTACCAACTCATGGCATGGTGAGCATTTCAGCTTGTCTTCATGGGATCAGAGACCTTTATCTCCAATACTTAGAGGCTTTGATCATAAGGCGAGCAGAACTAGAAAGAAGGGTAATATTTAAGCTTCGGCAAATCACCAGTGTCTAAGTAAACCAGGGGAGCTGTTAAGACATGTTTTTATTAATCTGGTCTCCTTATCAGTAGAGTAGATAAAACGCTGCTGGAAAAGTGGCGGTCAGGTGGCAGCACTAAACCACTAGATGTATGACAGAGATAATCACCTTAACAGACTCTGGGATCAAATGGAAAGCATGGGACATGACCTAAAGAGAATTATGACAGTGGCCAATTGATTATAGTGGTCCTTGTGAAAAATTAATTAATAGTCAAAAATGTCTAATGATACATTTGATATTAAAAAGAGAATGATTTACAAGGCTATCAGCTGCTCCACTGAAAAAAAATCACAATATCTTATATAGTATCTGAGATATTCCTCAGACCGGAGATAATCAGTTGAAAAGACTAATATTTCTTGAAGAATCATACCATGACACAGAAAATATATGCACTAATAATCCCTCCATTCCTTCTCCAAATGTGTGATCATTCACCTAAGTAACTGTAGACTGGGGAAAGAGAAATACACAAATTCTATAAGAGATATTTGACATTTTGTCAAAGTTACATTGATACTATGGATTGTCATTTGTGCAGAGGTATACAGAAGACAGATAGTAAGCAGAAGCCTGGCCAAAGTTTGTTTCTCATTGGTTCCAGTACATCCAAGGTAGCTAGTTAGCAGTGGCTCAGTATAAATTCAAAATGGATATATATATATATATATATATAACCTGTAAAATGCATTAATTTCAATTATTGCCACTTCTCAAGATTTTAAATTAAAAGCAGTGACATATATTGAGAAGCAAGGCAGAGATCAAAACCACTTTCACTGGCACAAAGATAAAGGGTTATTTGTGCTCGTCATGTCTTCATTTATTTGACATTCTAGCCCCTGGAAAAAACAGCTTATTGTAGATGATGGTATACCTCTGCAATCTTAATCAATACTCTCTGTGCCCTGATAGGTTATATGTTATGGATTTGGTATAGGTATTCTTTTAAAAATGTATGAGGACAAAAACATTCACTCATTTTGGACAATACTACAAATTTAAGGTATTGTTCTAAGGCTATACTTATTCTTCTGCCCTCTACTAAAATATATTCCAAAAGGACCTTGAAATGTATATACACCACATAAATATATTGGTTATATTGTGTCCATTAGACATGAAGAGCACATAGTGGTAAAATTCTAGATGTCTTTCTAAGATAAAATCCTGAGGGTGGAAAATAAACTCTAGAAAACATTAGTGATTTCCATAATGTATAAACTTTTAAGATTCTAGGAATGAGGAGGATGACAAGATATATCCTCCAGGCTGAAAGAAAAGTCTTTGTATACTGGAGTTCCTACACCACCACTCTGTGCTTGGTAAGCCAGTTTGGATTTTGGCCTACTTTGGGAAGTACTTCTCTGAATAATTATTGGATAAATTGAAGGCTGTCAGTGGTGAGTGGGTACAATCGCATATTCTTTTTGTTCTATGAGACCTCATATATTCAGTTGTGCTACTGGAGATAACAGTGGTAAATTGTGTGCCATTTGGAAACTGAAAGCTCTATAGCGAGTTGTAGGACACGAACCTAGGATTCAAGAACAAAACTGTGCTGTTTGCAACAAACAACCATATGTCATCTGCAAACTTTGAGTAGGCACAGAAGCTGTCTACCAGGTAATAGCAATGGTCAACCTGGAGTAAAGACTATTAGGTGCCAAGGACATAGAAAGTTATGGTACTAGATAGCCAGTGCCTCAGGTCATAAACATCTACTCAAGTAATGATGCTCCTTTAGCTTACATTTATGTGCCGAAGGGATTTCTTTAGAATCTGCTGATGGAGGAAAAATAGGTCCTACTTTGTGTATAGTTTACCTCAGCATATTTTTATGAGCTGAAAATGACTTTGCCAGAAAACACCACCACCAAGCATGGAGGTCCTTGAAAGAGGGGTGAGTGGAAATCTTCTAAATAACAGAGTTCAGGAGATGCACCTGGCCATCCACGGTGAAGAGTGATATAGTCTGAGATAAGAATATTTATGAACTCTTGGAGAATGGCTAATAGCTTAGCTTGTTGGTTTGGGGGCTTGGAAGGAGCAATATTTGAAGAAAGAGATAAGGAAGTCTGGGGAATAGTCATGTGGGTGGAACAATGGTACCAAGGTTTGAGAAAGGCTGAATCTCAAATTAATGCATAACCTAGATCACACACTTAAAAAGAAGCACTAACCACAAGGGGACAAAAATATTTATCACATAGATATTAGCCAGCCTCTATTCTCAGTGACTGAGCAGTGGGCTTATAAATTAAGTAGATGTACAGCTATGTGTAGGCCCAGCAACGTAGTCTTCCTCTCACCAAGGCTGATGTGGTTATTCCCATTACTGAAAATCTAAATTGTGAGGTATAGAATTCCAACACATGTCTCAAAGAAATCCACCGGAAGTTGTGTCAAGTTGTCAGAGTAAGGCTTTTCAAACTTTTAAAGGGCAGTAATTTATTCTGAACAGGGTCAATTTGTGTTTTTTGTAAGAGTTTGCCTTTTTGACTACAGAACACTGGAATAGCAGCACTATACAAGGACTAAGAGAATATGTCCTTTACGATCATGGGATCCCACACAACACTGATGCTGCACAGGCCAAAATATCTGCTCTTCAATGAGAATACGACATTGTGGGACCTACTGCTCATGCCTCATAGTAAATTACTTAGGGCTGCTGTTTTGATAGGACATTGGAAAGACCTTTTAAAGACATACCTACAGTGCCAATTTGAAGCTCCTGATGGTGATGCAAAGCAGGTGAACCCCAAACTGGGGCTTAGTCTGGAAGGGTTCTTTGTTTTACCCAGGATAGATATCAAGAATGAGCTGGTGGTAGAAGAAAATGGCTTTACTGAAGTGGCAGTGTTACAGCTTCAGTGGTATTACAGCTCAGGCAGTGTTATAGCTCCATGACTGATCCTGCAGAGCAGTGCAGCTACCCCATAGTGAGTATGCTGAGAGAACCAGCTCAGGGCAGTTCTGCAGAAATATGTAAACCTACTTTTAATTACATGCAAATTAAAGGGCAGTTTATGCAGAAATTTCTAAGGAAAGCGTAATAACTTCTGGGTCATCGGATCATTGTCACTCCTGGGTTTTGCCATGGCAATGGTAAACAAACATGGCACACAGGTGGGCATATCTTTATAGAAAGCTGCTGCTTCTGCCCTGTCCCTGTTTTAGCAAGTCCTTGATTTGGTCAGTATCCTAATCCTGACTCCAGAATTGAGTCTTGCCTCCTATCTCAATGGCACACTATGGGTTTAGGATACTGTTTTTCAACATGCAGTATATGCCAGGAATCAATGGCCACTGTGTAGTTCTATGCCTCTGAAAGAATGAATAAACATGTCTGGGAATCGAGGGTCTGAAGTAAGAATGTCTCTTCTCACCTTCACTCCAAGGAATTTATTTGAAGAAGATATATTTCTTGTCCTTACAATTTTAAACACAGTATCTAGAGTTCCTGGGAATCACCAGGGAACACATCAAGACTTCCACTGAAAATAGATGTACCACTGCCATCTGGTCATTTTTATATACTTGTTACAATAAGCAAGTAGGCAAATAAATGAAACAAATTATTAATCTTGATCATCATGAGATGGTAGGATATTAGACATTGAATGCGAGTAGGAAAATGTAAGTCTGGAAACCTCGGGAATCCACTGTCCATCTCTTCATGCTCCCATATATTGTTGAACTGTGGTCAGGTAATTATCAGGCAAGTGAATGGCCACCAGAGGTATAGGGATGTGAGTCTTGAAGGGTACTCAGGAGAGCATCATACACTACAGAAGTGTAGACTCAGGGTAAACTACAGTGGATGGTAGAGACAGTCTTTTCAACCTCAAAGGTGCAATGATTTGTTCTGATGAGGCTTGAAATATCTTTTGGCAATTATAGCCTTGGCAACAACTTTAGCAGCAGGAACTACAGTTCATTGCAGTAATTGTTCTCTTGTAGAATTCAACCCTTTGTAATCATGACTAGTTATCATTCTGAAGAATCCATGTAGAGAATCCAGTGTGAGGCATGAGTGTATCCAAGGCTGCAACAAATGTTGGTGTTGCTTTGTCTGATCACTGTCATATTCCTTCATCAATTTTGTGCACATTGCTCTCCAATGTGCTTTTATTACCAACAACCAGAACTGAGGGCCTTTATGGAAGAGCTACCCTTAGTCTCCTGGAGAGCACGTTTTCTGCAAGTGCAGAGGTAGCTGGAAGTGCCTGCGAATTTACATCTCCTCAGGGGCAGCCCTTAGCTAATGTCTGATTGGTTTGGTACAATTGATTTGGACTTCACTGAAGTATAACCTACATTGCTTTATGAGCTCAGTGGGACTTAATATTACAAACGTGCTTGCCCTTCTTCCTTTCTCAGGCCCACTCTCCCACTCTGTACTGGTGTTTTCCGGAAATGCTTCCTTTCTAATGAACCACCCTCATAGAATTCTTCATCTCAGAGTCTGCTTCTGACAAACCCATTCTATAAAAAGCACAATGTGGCCCGGTGCGGTGACTCATAACTGTAATCCCACCACTTTGGGAGGCTGAGGCAGGAGGATCACTTGAGGCCAAGGGTTCAAGACCAGCCTGGCTAACATTGTAAAACCTCCTCTCTACTAAATATACAAAAATTAGGCACAGTGTGCAGTGGCATGTGCCAGTAATCCCAGCTACTCAGGAGGCTGAGGCAGGAGAATTGCTTGAACCCAGGATGTGGAGGCTGCAGTGAGCTGAAATTATGCCACTGCACTCCAGCCTGGGCGACAGAGTGAGACTTTAAAACAAAAAAATCAGCTCATTGTAAAAATAATGTTCCAAATTTTCACTAGGAAATTTATTATACATTAGAGTAAAATAAGCTTAAAGACAGTAAGATGATATCATGCCATAAATGCAGCAATATATACTTTTATTATTACTCACTGGTTTAGCTTTTCCTATCCCTTACATAAATAAAGATAATTTTTAAAAAATAGCTGACTATATTAGTCAGTATAAACACACACACAAAATAACTTGTTCCACTTGATAGCTTATTATGACCTGACTTGAGAGAAAACATTTACTTTGCAAACTGCAAATGAAGTTCGTTGAATGTAATTGAATTAAGTACTCTTTGATATATTTTTGACAAATCTTTGAAATACATTTATGCAGAGGCTAAAAATCTTGCATTTTCTTATCAATTTAAAATTTTCTATTATTTAAATACAAATAAATACATATATAATTGTAAACAGACAAATTCAAACTATGTTTCTAAAGAAATTAAATATTACTTCTATTAATATATTATGAGTAGAATTGAAACACCCCAATGGCACCTTCCTCCTTCCTGTGTTTTACTTTATGTAATTTTATTCAGGAATAATTCACATGCAATAAAACTGCATCATTCCAAAGTGTACAATTTGGTGAGTTTTGAGAGTTGCACAAACCTGTAAAACCACAAACACAATCAAGACTCAGAACATTTCAGTCACCCCCAAAGCTTCTTTATATTACTTTGCAGTGTATATTTCTCTCGGCTGCTGGCCCGTGTGAACATTGATCTGCTTTCTGTCACTATAATTAATTTGCCTTTTTATATAAATGAACTTGTATGGCATGAAATTTTTTGTGACTGGTTTCTTTCATTCAACATGATTTTGAGATTCATCTATGTTGTTCGGCATAACAGTAGTCATCCCTGTTTATCACATAGAGTCCTTTGAATGCTTCACTCTGCTTCTTTGACAGGTGATACCTTATATAACTGTAGTAGGATATCAAAACCATGATATGATAACTTTAAATAGACTACATACCATATTCAGTTTTCACCATTTCTTTACATGTATCCACACGTGTGTGTACATTTGTATGCAATTCTGTCCCATATAGAGATTTGTATAACCACCAACTAAATCAGCATACAAAATTATTATATTACCATCAAGAAATCCCTCATTCTATCCCTTTATATTCTCACTCCTCCCACACACCATCCCTGTCGCTTGGCAACCACTATTTTGTTCTTATTCTTCATAATTTTGTCATTTCAAAAATGTTACATAAGCAGAATCATAGAGTATGTACTCTTTCAAAATTCATTTTACACAGAACCTAATGCCTTTGAGATGCATACTAGGGTTGCTTTTATCAATAATCTATCTCCTTTCACCCTTGTCTAATGTCTTGCTGAGTGAAAAGAGTGTATTTTGTTTTCTGTTCACCTGTTGATGAACGTTTGTGTTATTTGAAAATTTTGCCATTATGATTAAAGCTATTATGAATATTCATGTACAAGTATTTGATTCTAATGTATTCTCATTTTTCTTTGTTAAATGCCTAGCAGTGGAATTTCTGGGTTTTATGGTCAGTGCTTACTAACATTTTAAGAAACTGTTAAACATTTTCCAACTGGTAGTGACATTTTACTTTCCACTACCATTACCTTGTTGGACTGTTTATTATTGAGTTTTACATTGAGTCGCAGTATTTTCTCCCTTCATATGATTTGTGTTTTCATTTTGTTAATGGAAACAAAGAGCAAAAGTTTTTCACTTTGATAAAGCTTAAACTCTTCATTTTTCTTAATATTATAATTTACTCTATTTGTGTACTATATAAAAAACCCAAGTCCTGAGAGGGCTTTGAGGAGGTTTTAGTGTGGTCTTTCACATTTAGGGTAATCAAATTTGAAAAAAAAAAAAAGGTTATTGTGTAAGCTAAGTGTTGATGCTTTCTTTTCCCCCATAGCACCGTTTCTAGAAGGGTTTTCCTTCCTTCCCACATTGAGTTATGAAATAATTTTGTCAAAAAGCAATTGATAGAATGATTTATATTCCTTTGGGTATATACCCAGTAATGGGATTGCTGAGTCGAATGGGATTTCTGTCTTCAGGTCTTTGAGGAATCACCACACTGTCATCCACAATTGTTAAACCAATGTACACTCCCGTCAAGAGTGTACAAGCTTTCCCTTTTCTCCACAACCTCACCAGGATCTGTTGTTTTTTGATGTTTTAATAGCAGCCATTTTGACCGGTGTTAGATGGTATCTCACTGTGATTTCGATTTGCATTCTTCTAATGATTGGTGATCTTGAACTTGTATTCGTATGATTGTTGGCCACGTGTATTTCTTATTTTGAAAAGTGTTCATATTCATTGCTCACTTTTTATGGAGTTATAGGTTATAAAGACACATGCACACACATGTTCACTGCAGCACTATTCACAACAGCAAAGATATGGAATCTATCTAAATGCCCATCATTGGTAGACTGGATAAAGAAAATGTGGTACATGTACATCATGGAATACTAGGCAACCATAAAAAAGAACAAGATCATGTTCTTTCCAGGGACATGGATGGAGTTGGAGGCCATTATCCTTAGCAAACTAACACAGGAACAGAAAACCAAATACTGCATGTTCTCACTTTTAAGTGAGAACACATGGAGACATAGAGGAAGAAGACACACTGAGGCCTACTGGAGGGCAGAGGGTGGGAGGAGGGAGAAGATCAGAAATAACAACTAATGGGTACTAGGCTTAATACCTGGGTGATGGAATAATTTGTACAACCAATCCCCATGACACAAGTTTACCTATGTAAGAAACCAGCATTTGTACCCCTGAATTTAAAAATTTTAAAAATGAAAGTAAAAATAAAAAAAGCAATTGAACATGTGTGAAGGTCTATTTCTGGACTGTCTCATCAGTTTCATTGATCTATATGTCTTTTGTTTTACCAACTCTTAATTTT
This sequence comes from Homo sapiens, assembly GCF_000001405.40. Lineage (NCBI taxonomy): Eukaryota > Metazoa > Chordata > Mammalia > Primates > Hominidae > Homo > Homo sapiens. Next base: position 88,413,661 of record NC_000013.11, read on the forward strand.
CTTTACTTTTTTTTTTGAGATGGAGTCTCACTGTCACCAGGGTGGAGTGCAGTGGTGCAATCTCAGCCCACTGCAAACTTTGCCTCCCAGGTTTAAGAGATTCTTCTGCCTCAGCTTCCTGAGTAGCTGGGACTACAGGTGTGCACCACCATGCCCAACTAATTTTTGTATTTTTAGTAGAGACAGGGTTTCACCATGTTGGTCAGGATGGTCTCGATCTCTTGACCTCATGATCCACCTGCCTCGGCCTCCCAAAGTGCTGAAATTACAGGCATGAGCCACCGTGCCCGACCCTGTTGTTTTATATAAGTCAAGATTAGGTACAATAAGTACTTCAGTGTAGTTCTACTTTCTTAGATTTGCCTTGGCAGTTATATTTTCATATAATATATAAATTGACTTGCCAATTTCAACCAAAATGCCTGCTAGATTTGCATGGAGTTGACCTCTGTATGTTGGCAAATTTTTGTAAATTGAAATTTTATTTTCCAAATTGTTGATATTATATATCTTTTCAATTATTTCAGTCTTTTTTAATGCACGTCAGTGTTCTGTAGTTTGCAGTGTATGTGTGTGTGTTGAGAAAAAGAGAGAGAGGGAGAGTATAATTTTCTAAAATCCCTTTGTTAGATGAAAAAAATTCAATTCTATTCCTTTTTCTGTGAGAGTTATGAATATGTGTTGAATCTTCTTAAATCTTTTTTCACACCTTTGGAGATGCTAATGTGATTTAGTTTCCTCTTTTTCTACGAACAGATTATATTATGTGATGTAATTTTTGCAGGTTAAGTCAACTCTGCATTGCTGAGATAAACCTGACTCCTTCATTTTATATATATGTATATAATGCTGTATTCTATGAATTAAATTTTATTAAAGATTATTCATTTATGGTATTGGTGGATAAAAGTTTGAAGTATTGTCTTGTATTATCTTCCTAGCAATATCTGTTTCTGACATGAATTTGGATAAAATAATTCCTGGAGATTGTTTCTTTGACCCATGTTTTATTTCAAGATATGAAGAATAATTTCCAAATATTTAAACTGTCCCTGGATTACTCTTTGTTTTTGATTTACTATTTATTTATGCATTACATATTATACTGCATATAATATCAAACATAACACATTTTCTGAGCCTTTGTTTTTTTTGGCCCAGCATATCTTTATCCTGGTGAGTGATCCATGTGTACCCTAGAAGATATTCTGTCTTTATTGTTTACAGTGCCCTGTACATATAATTTAAGCCAAGACGGTTGATAACGTTGTTTGAATACTCTATAAATTATTTGACTAGTTGTGCTTTTAATTGCTAAGTGTTAAAATTTTCACTCTGATTGAGCACTTATTTATTTCTTTCATTGTTTCTGCCAACTTTTGCCTTTTGTAATAATGAGACTCTTTAATTAGATGCATAAAAACTTACGATACTTAAGTTACACTGAGAAATGATCCTTTCCTCATTGTGAAATTACCTCTTTATTTCTAATATTGTCTCCATCTTTATTCCCTCTGATGCTACTATAGCCACATCAGCCTATATTTATGGTTTTTATTGAACGCATTTTTTCACTCACTCTTTTCAGCCTCTTTATGCCTTATAATTAAGATAACCTTCTTGCAGAATAGTATATAATTGAGTGTTATGTTTTTATCTATTATTATGTCTGACTTTTAATTGTAGAGTTTAGTTCATTAACATTGAATGTAATGATTGATATGATTGCACTTACATCATCTATTTATTATATGTTTACTACTGTCCCTTCTGTTTTTGTATTAACTGCCATTTTTATTATGCAAAAATATTCCAATTTTGTTACTATTAATATATTGGTGTTTTAGCTATATGCCTTTATATTTTTTATAATTTTTCTTTAATTACAATATTATACTTAAATTGTCGCAGCCTATTAAGATTTTTGTTAAATAAAGCATAGAAAACTTGCAACCATATTAGGTCCAGTCCCCATCACCCTCTGTGCTTTAAATGACATAGGTATTATATTCTACATATATTCCCACCATAATATTGCATAATTTTTGTTATGGACAATCATATATATTTTAAATACATTAATAAAAAAGATTTTATTTTTACCCATATATTTAACATTTCCAATATTTTCATTCAATTCTAACGATTGTGATTTTTTCCAGTTTCATTTTTCTTCAAGCTGAAAATCTTTTAGTATTTCTTGTACTTCTTGTATGAGAACAATCTATTATTACCTTACTTTTCTTTTTCGTGAATGTACCTTTCAATGACCTTACCTTGAAGCATATTTTTGCTAAATCCAGAAAAAGAGTAGATGGTTTTTCTTCTTTCAGCATTTTAAAGATATTGCTCCATAGATTTTTGTTCTCCGTTGTTTTTGATCAGGTTCTTATTATTTTATCATTTTTCTCTGGCTTCTGTTGAGATTTTTTTCTTTATCCTTAGTTTTCAGAAGTTGGCTTTGATATGTCTAAGTGATGTGCTCTTCAACTTTATTTTTTTTTCTGTTGAGCTTTGCTGAGCTCTTCAATGTTTGCAGCTATGTCCTTCAAAATGTGAGAGAAGATTTTGTCCATTATTCTATCACTTATGTGTTTTTCATTCTGGAGCAGTTCATTTTCTCTTTCCTCTCATTCTGGGTTTCAAATGAACGATATGTTAAATGTGATATTGTCCCAAAGATCATGAAGCTATTTTTAATTTTGTCAGTCCTTTTATCTCTTCTACTCAAATTGAATAATTTATTTTTCTTCAAATTTCTGTGACATTTTTCTTTCAACTTCATTCCATTATTTTATTTGTTCTAGACACCAAATTTTTCAGTTCTATGATTTACCATTTTATGATATATTTCTGTGCTGAGATTCTTAAGTTTTCATTTATTTAAATTGTATACAACTTTACTACATTGAGCACAACAATAACGGCTTCTGTATATATAGTTTTTTCTTATCTGTCATCTCAGGATTGACATTTGTTGATCTCTTGAAACAAGAATGGATCATAGTCCCCAGTACTTTACAGTTTGAGTCTTGTATTATTGCATCACAGATAATATAAATGCTATATTGCAGAGATTGAGAATTCTGCTAGTTGTATCAAATATTGTGGACTCTTAAAAATATTTTTTTAAATTAACTTTAAACTCAAATTGTAGACTGTCATACCTGAGTAGAAAGAGGCTTAGAATTGGCTTTAATTGTTTCAGCTTTATTTGCAAGGGACTTAGTCTTCCTTTCATATGTGAGGTTCAGAGAACAGCCAGGCTGTTCTCACCATAAATCCAGGCGACTGGATTTACTCTATCCACACAATTAGTAATTCCTTTTTTTTCGGATTCTCTCCTTCCTGGAGTTTTCCTGATACTATCTCATGTTTTTTTCTTGATAAAAGGCTTCTCTGTTTCCTGGCCAGAAAGTAAGACTTTCGGGAGCTAGTTTTAGACATGTAAAAAAGCTTTCAGTCTGAAGCCTAAACAAACAAACAAACAAACTGGGACAGCTAGCAATGTGACCATCTCTTCTTCCTGTTTTAACAATGTTCAAAATCTAACTGCTTCATTTTGGTTTTTTGAGCTTTAAGTAATTACACCATGTTCAAAGATTGTATCCAACATGTACAGGATGATTGGCTTATTGGGAGCTTTTCATCCTTACTGAAAATTAAAACGCCATCCTGCTTCCTAGAATTGATCAATTTTCAATTGCATACTCCTCTATATTTTATTAAGCATGTTTTATTTTTACATATTTTATGTAAATATTAGAAACTTTTATATTTAGGTATTTTTCTTAAAATTATTTAATTATGTAATTTTGTTTGCCTATGTAATTTCACTTAACAAAAATATATTATTTGTAATATCGTACAGTGCAGTGTTTCAGCATTTGAAAAACAACAATACTTTTTCTGGTGAAATTTCTTTGTGCCCAACTATCACAATATTATTTTTGTTTAACTTTTTTCTAAACTGCCCCTCAAGAAGACCACATTTATTTATATACCAGCTGTATTTTAATTAACCATATGAATATAAAACTCTATGGTTAGGAGAAATGGATGCCCCTAGTTGCTCTGATGGCTTTCAGCAGTAATATGTTCAAATAAACTATGCAGTGAAGGTATGTTTTTATTAATCAATTAGATTTTCATTGAAATAAATTTGTTTTGAATGAGCATGGATATTGTTATAAGGAATTCTAATGATGATCAATATTTAACTTTGACTTCTCAACAAGAAAATCTATGCCTTATTATATAATATTTCCTTCGTAATAAATTCAAAATGTCATTCATTTCTCACTTAGCTTTGAGTGTTGCCAGGTATGAGGAAATTTGCTGACTTAGGTAATAACAGTTCACTGTATTTGAGTCAAGTAATTGATAACTAGGAGAACTATTGGCTACACTGGATATTAAAATTTCTTTAATGACCCATCAACTGTAGTTTGCCTGTGCAGAGTTTCAAATCATATAATTTTTTAACAAGGAAAAAACACAGCTTCAACTGAAAGTCAAATTTGGGTTCTGAAGCATATCTTGATCATATTTTTGCAATTAAATTAATATGCTGCTGTATTGCTATATGTAATTATATATCTTTTCAGTTTTGATTTGATGATTATTTTCTTTCTGCTATTAACAAAGCTTCAAATTTCCCCACTTTATAGTGGTAGCACTAATTGAAAATAGCAGTGCAAGACCTATATTAGTTTGAGAAAATGAAAACATCGCTGAGATATTATTGACTTTTAGACTGAATGAAATATATTGTGAAGATTTGTATTATATTGTTCACATGATACATGAAACCTGTTTTGTATTATCTCAGTTAAAATCAAACATATGTGTAATATAACTTGTTGAAAATGCAAATGTAATTGTCCAAGACAATGTCATCTAAAGAACATATCTATTCATTGTATTTTGAAAATACAATGAATAAATCTGTCAATTATATAGTGCCTCAAACCATAAATGTTATTTAAATATGGATTAAGAAACTAAGAGGATTTCCAGATTAAGATCCAAGAGCTATTTATGTGTTGTGAAGACATGAGGAGTTACTTACTTTAAGTTTGTTTCAAGTTTGTCAGCCAGGGTCCACATGCAGAGTAGAAAGCACCCTAGATTTTAAATGGAATTAAATTTAATTAGTATTTTAAGGTAGCTCAAGATGTAATTTTTAGAACAAATTTTTAATTTTTATTTTTCTACAAGAAATAAAACAGTTATTGGCAAACTAATATGCCAATTGACAAATCCAGGAAAGAAAGAAAATAAAAATACTCCTTGAAACCCATCAGGAAACTACGGAATCAAAGTATAGAAAATGGGGCTAAAATTTCAGAAAAAAATTGTTCTCAGGGAAAGTTGCTAATGATCTATGGATGCTTTATTCCTAGGTGAGCATGCAAATTCTGGACTGAACAGGAGAGTAAATTTAAAGTTCGGCATAGTGAGCAGCTACTGCGGAACAGAGTGTCCAACAGTCTTTGTCATGTCACCAGGATTAAATGACACAAATGGGGACTAGACATCTCAGCCATATGCCTGGTTTCTCTTGGAAAATTGTTTAATTATGAACCTATACGAGGTAAGTAACTTAGAAGTTAAAATAAAACGTATAAAACAGTAGATTTTATTTCTAGCCTCTTAATGCTAGCGGAAGGTGCTTCAATGAGTATAATAGGCTGTCAGTTGAACTCTACAATTAATGGTGAGCTGAGAATCTACAACTCCTCTTTCCCTAGAGATAATTTCTCATTCTAGGCAAAAGCTAAAATTAAAAAATTCTAGTGTGATGTTGTGTAAAAGGCCATTGCACCGGGACAGAGAAAGAAGCAGAGATTTTGTCTGTCACTTGAAGTTAGAGTAGCAAAATTAGCAGCATGAAGATCATCAATACAAAGTCAGCTTTGCTGAAGTCTGAATTTCCATGTGGTGTGAATAAATATATAAGCCAAAATGTTTCAAAAGCAGAGTTGCTCTTTTTATAGTTTCTAGGCGAGGGGTAGACAAAGACATGCCAAAAGGAGGGTCTCTATTGGACATAATAGATCCTCAATTAAATATTCAGAAGGGTTAAATACAAGGAAGAGAGGTAGATTAATGTAGAAATTTTAAGCCTGTAAAATATAATTTGTAATATTAAGACATCAATAGATTGGTTTAAAAGCAGCATAGTCAAAACAGAAAATTGAATGAGTGAACTAAAAACTGGCTAAAAGGTATCAAAATTGAAGCCAAGAAATACAAAAAAAAAAAGTTGGAAGTAATGAAGAGAAAAAATAACAAGTGTGACACAGGGAGTCTAAGAATAGGGTAAATATATTGCAGAAGAAGAAATACTGAAAAGACAGTTAATTATTGTTTCAAATATGGCTGAAATATACCAGCCTGTGGATTCAAAAAGCTCTTCAAACACCGAATTATACACAATAAGAGCAATCTATAGGCACAAACTCAAAGTGAAGAGACCAAAAACAGAAAAGATGTCAAGAACACTCTGTGAAAATATAAATATTTTCTCTGAGGGATTAACAACAAGAATGTTAGTTGACTTATCCCTAGAATTGGTAGAAGCCAGAAAAAAATGACATGATGAAATCTATCTTCAAAATACTGAAATTAAAAAAAGACAATTTAGAATTCTTTATCTAGTGAAAATATCTTTACAAAAAGAAGAAAAATGATCCTTTCACAAAAATCAAAATGAAGAAATTTGTCATTAACATATCTGCACTGAAAGAGATAATAAATGAGAATTCTTCTCAGAAGAAAACAGGGAATTAAAGAAAACAATATAACAGCAATGTGAATGGAAAATATATGGGTAAAAGAAAATAAACATTGAACACACAAAACAATAATACTAATATCTTGAAGTCTCTAAATTTGTCTTACTCAGTTCAGGCTGATAGAACAAAATACCGTAATTAAGTGCCTTATTAGTAACAATTTATTTCTCAAAGTTCTAGAGGCTAGAAAACCAACATCAGGGTGCCATCATGTTCGGGTTCTGTTGGGGGCCCTTCTCTGGGTTGCAGACTCTCAGCTTCTCAGTTGTATTGTCATGTGGCAAAAAAAGTTAAAGAAATTCTCTGGAAATCCTTTTCTAAGGGCACTAATATTATTCATGAGGGTTCTACTCTCATGACTTAATTACGTCCTAAACACCCCACCTCTTAGTATCATCACTTTGGGAGATAGAATTTCAACACATAAATTTGAGAGAAGGGTCACAAACAATCAGTCTATAATAATAAATATAAAATTAAAATTTGTATCACAGGGTAAATATAAAACTAATTTATTAAAAATGTTTCATAAGAATTCAAAGGACGCCTGTAATCCCAGCACTTTGGGAGGCCGAGGCGGGCAGATCACGAGGTCAGGAGATCGAGACCATCCTGGCTAACACGGTGAAACCCCGTCTCTACTAAAAATACAAAAAATTAGCCGGGCGTGGTAGCGGGCGCCTGTAGTCCCAGCTACTCGGGAGGCTGAGGCAGGAGAATGGCGTGAACCCGGGAGGCGGAGCTTGCAGTGAGCCGAGATCGCGCCACTGCACTCCAGCCTGGGCGACAGAGCGAGACTCCGTCTCAAAAAAAAAAAAAAAAAAAATTCAAAGGACATAGAATTTTGTGAAATGTAGTATTTTTACTTAAGTGCCTTTTTTCTATTTCTAGCCCCCAGTCTATTATTTTATAAACCAGTTGATACATAAATAGTTTCTTGTGGGAGGATATATTATTTACATACTTTCTATGTAGTAAACATGTATGTGTATGTGTGTGGGTGTGTATCCAACTGCTTTGTTGGAGTGATTCCTATGGTTTGGAACTGCCAGGGCCAAGTTTATGCAAAAATCTACATTTTTGGATAAACCCCCCTTGACTAGAGTAGGTTTCCCCAGTATTTGATCATTCTTCATTCTTAAAGCTGTACAAACATCAGATATCAATATTTGTGAGGATCGATAATGTCATTTATAATGAAATTGCTTTCTCAACTTTTAATGTTAAGTATATCATCTTCATATAGCCTTATAACTCATTTCTGCTATTCCATTTTCCTCTGTTCCTTTTATTTTCACTTCCTTTGTAATGTTAATCTCTTTGTACTGATTTCTGAAAAGTTCATTTATGACTAAAGATGTTAACATTTTGTCTAGAATTGCAAATATGTTTTTTCTCATTCATTTTACTGTGACGTTTTGTTTTTTGGTTGCACAGAAGTTGTATATTGAAATATAATCTTGTTCTGTTAAAAAAATAAAATTTGTGACAAATGTAAGAGTGGAACAAATGAAGTTCAAATATACTCAGTGGAAGCATTAAAAATACTAGTTATTGTACAAGCTTACTTATTTTTCATCTTTATTGAGTAGTAATTAAAAAGTATTATTTTGAAAACTTTTTGGAATAGTAAAAGTGAATGGGGCATCACATAAAGTATGCACTGAATAGATTTTATGTAATATATGACTATTTTGCTTTACAATCTAATGTAAAGTTTTACTATTTAATCATATCCTACACAATTATATCTTTTCAATTTCCTGATATATAGGAGATATTATTTTACACCTGTAATTCCAGTGATAAAACTTAAGTGCAATGAGATTAAATGACTTGCCTAAGGTTAGTTACTCAGATAAGAAATGACTAATAAAACTCAGATTTTCTAACAGCAAAGATAATTTTAGCTAAGCTTTTCTAGTTATAGTCTTTAGTTAAGATAAAATTAGTGTATTTGTGTGTTTCACAAATTAGGTATAAATATAGACATAGGTAAAGACAGATACAGATAACATAAAAGAGTTCATATTAAGTCACTCTGAGCAAATGTAGCCTTGACAATTGTTAAATAATTTGACATTTATTTCCCTACACTTTGGAAAAGATATGCTTTTCCAGTCCCCACATTACTCTCATCTCATCAATATCACTTTTTCCTGAAGAGTCCAAGAAAGCCTTTGCTAAGACTTGGTACCACAAAAGTCATCCAGGAGCCTCTTTCAATGTATAAAAAATAATATACAACACTTTCTGTTTGTTCTTGCTCAGTCTATTTGCAAAATATTTTGAATATTGCTGAAATTATAAATGATTATTGGAACAAGCATATGGATAACTTTTGGTAATATGTTTGAAATTCCTGCAGAATAAGTTTTTCAGATGGAAGTTTTCCTAGCCATTATTGAGCAATTAACATATGCCAGGCAACTTACTAGATGTTTTAACATACTTTCATGGGAAAAATGATGACTAACACCTTTCCAGTGCCAGGAGGGGCATTTATTAAATAGTCACTAAATTCCTCCTTTCTTAAAGAAGTTGATAATACTCTCTATCTCCTGAGTAAGAAGTCGACTGAAGAAATATGTGCATATTTAGATGTAGGTACATTGTACCTACATCTATAGGTAACATTATCTTCACCAACAACCAATGCCCTGTGCCTTCACACAATACATTGACAATAGAGAAAATGTGTTTTATTAAAGGAAAGTTGCTGTGGCTCACCCCTGCAGCCCCAGTGCTTTGGGAGGCTGAAGTGGGAGGAGCACTTGAAGCCAAGAGTTCCAAATCAGCCTGGGCAAGATAGCAAGACTCCCGTCTGTCTCCACCCAAAATTAAAACATTAGCTGGGCATGGTGGTGCACACCTGTAGTCCTAGCTATTCAGGAGGTTGAGGCGGATGGATTACTTGAGCCAAGAAGTTTGCGGCTCCGGTGAGCAATGATCATACCACCACACTCCAACCTGGGTGACAGAGTGAGATGATGTCTCCTGAAGAGAAAGAGAAAGAGAGAGAGAGAGAGAGAGAGAGAGAGAATATGCTTGAAATTGCTTTGTAGGCTTAAGCACATGGATGACATGGGTGCACACCATGATAATTCAGGTTCACACACAACTTTAGCATATTATCATCTACATGTTTTCCCAAATTCTGTGTTCTATTTTCTTCTTGTTCCTCTAAATTGTATTATTAATTGCTGATCCAAGTTTTACTATATTTTCTTCAAAGCTAATTTAAATGTTTTCCAAATAAATCTAAGTATGCTCTCTTATTAAATTTCCTTTCCTAACAATGTATTCCACATTAATTTCAGCAGACTTTAATTTACTGATGAAAACTATCACTGACTGTCAGTGTCTTAACCTTAAAGTACTGAATAATTCATTTATTTATTTATTTTTTATTTTTTTGAAATGGAGTCTCACTCTGTCAGTCAGGCTGAAGTTCAGTGGTGCAATCTTGGTGCACTGCAACCTCCTCCTCCCAGGTTCAAGTGATTCTCCTGCCTCAGCCCCCCAAGTACCTGGGATTACAGGTGTGCACCACCACGTCCAGCTAATTTTTGTATCTTTAGTAGAGACAGAGTTTCACCATGTTGGCCATGGTTGGCCAGGCTAGTCTAGAATTTATGACCTCAGAAGAATTTATTTTTAAATGTACTAATAGGTGATTATGTTTAAGAGTTTTTAGATACTACTCAGCTTTCAGGCAACTAAGGTCCTCCCAGATATAAACCATATTGAATAGAGTGTTATCTCATTTATGACCAGCCACCCAGGAGCAGTGAGTTTTATTGCATGAAAAAAAATAAAATAAATTTATATATTGGACAAATAACTTGAAATCTTAAAATTATAGACTTGAAAAAAGTAATAAAAGATCTGGAAACTAAGTACAGGATTGTTGAATTTATTGATATTCTTTCCAGAATTTCCTTTGTCATTCTTATCTATATTTTTGGAGGAGATGGGTTTCAAGAAAATTAAAAAGAAAATTGGGAAAATTAAAGACAAGACTTAAAGATACCTGGAGGCCAAATTTCAGTGTGTGTGTAAAGTCTTTTATAAATCAATTACAGCCTTGGCTGAGATAGGTGAACTCATCTGAGCCATTTTAAGTAGGATTCTGTGCACATCATGATCTCAAAATTGCTCTATTAAAAGTGTGTAACAACTCCATGACTACTCCTGACAGGTTGTCTTTCATTACTAGTTTGTGAGGACCTTTTGACAGGATGTAATCTGGGTGACTGTAACATCTCATTGATCCATTTGCAGTCTATCTCTAGTTGTTCTGAAACTGCTATAAATTGGTTTCCTTCTCATGCCTTCTAATAATCAGTCTAGGGAATTCTGAGAAAGTTTTGGGTGTGATTAAAATCTGAGCTGGGATTTTGAGACTATTATAAACTATATGAGAAATCTATCAATTCAAAATAATTTTAGATAATCAATGTCTTTAAATTTATTCATGTATTTTACAAACATAAATAAAACTTGTTAAACATTTATAGAAAATTAATATTTATCATAAAACTGAGTTTAATACTATTATATGTAACATTGCTTTTTTGTAATGATGGTTTCATGTTGCAATTGTATCCACAAAATGAGAATAACAACATCATTATTATTAGGATGTGTTGTTTACATACAATTATTAAATCATTATTAAATATTAGCTACAATAAGGGTGACAGTATATATTGTCAGATTAACAGAGATAGCTAGAAATATAGCTGTTGAGTCTTTCAATAAGAACTATTATTATCTTTAAGCCTAAACGTCATGCAGAACTTTATGTTAATTGCTTTTAGCCATACACAATTCATCATCAGATGAACTCAATTCTTTGCTAAATAGATAAAAAAATGCATGTTTGAATTTGGATATTATATACATCAAATTATAAAACAAAAACTATTTCAATATAATGAGTTTTAACCAATATGAATTTTCCTGTGAATAATATTTTTCTCAAAGATTTATTATTTTTATCAACAGGGTCATTTTTAGATACAAATAAATGTTGAACAATTCCAATTATAATTATACGAAGCACTGGATTTTATTTTATGAAAGAATTAAAACTTTCTTGGAAGGGAGATAGGAATGGAGGTAGAAATACTATCACTTTGTAATCATTTATTCTTATTTATCACCACACTGGCAGAATGCGACTCACTTATTTATGCCATTATTTGAGGGTACAGTTGAATGGGCTTACCTTCCAGAACTGAGGCCTTTATTTCTATACTAAGGTGTTATAATTTGAGATTGATACATTTCATAGTTCATAAAACCAACAATTAACTTGAAAGCAATAAGTACAATTCAGCTGATTGGCCATAAGGATTTAAAGCATTAAGTAATAGCACTTGAATAGTGCTATTCAAATACTTCATCCAAATCCATCTAGTCTGTGACTTGAAATTTTCTGCTCAAGGCTGAGGCTTATTTTTTATAGTTTTTGTATTCATGCAAAGCTGGTGAATATCCTACAGGACAATGCAATCATAACTATTGGACTTAATTTTTCTTCTGACAAGAAATCTCCGAGTTAACATATAACCTAATAGTGTTACAGCTTTAAGCAAGTAGTAAATCTTGAAGCCAACCATGAGTAAATTCTAAAAAGAAACAGAGTTTACAGGTGGACTTACTAAGTAACAGCTTCATTTGACACTGAAGGAGTATTCTGTAGTCTTTTCTGAGTTAGATAGATATTATTAATGCATTAATACAGTAAACTAACATTTACTAAACCCCTGCTCTCTATCACACCTCAAATACTGTGCCAAGCATAGGTTGTATCTCTGCTTTTCAAGCACTCACGGAAGAGCTGGGATGAAAGCTTCATAAATATACAATTACAGTATATGTTATTTTCCATTTCAAAATGATGTTCTAGCAATTAGGAGAATATATAATGGAGCTACAAACGTTACTTCAGCAATTTAAGAAGAACTCATAGAGTAGAAGACCCTCAATTAGATTTCTAAAGTAGAAACAGGAGGCACCAAAAGGAGAGGAGATCAGTATTGGCTGAAAGAAAAAGCCTGAGTAAAAGGTGAAGGGTCTGATGGGACATGTCTCGTTTGGTATGTTTCATACAGTTTAGGATGCTTGCAGCACTTTTTTGTTATTTGTATGAGACTAAACATGTAGACAAGCATGGAATCAAGAAGCACATACAGACTTTTCTAAGAAGTTAATTGTTAGCCTGTGAGATATTAGAAAAGGAGGAATTTAAGTAGAACAGTAGCAGAATCAGATTTGTCTTTAGTCCAAAGGCATTGATAGAAATGTTGAGGATTGGCAGGACAGTGAACAGACTGGAAAGCTGAAGACCAGCAGTCTGTCATTATCATAATTTGCACTAGAGATAGTACAGCCAAAACACATTCTCACTTTAATTGGAAAGAAGCAGAGATGGGAGACTTATGTTTGAGAAGGAGAGAGAAAAATATAGAATGATTCCCAAGAAATTGCCTTGGGCAACTGGATGAGTGACAGTGCTATTAAATAAGATAGGAAATATATTAGGTTCAAGTGAAAAAATGATTTGAATTTTCAACAAGATGCCTATGTGGTTATCAAAGGGAAAATGTCCAGTGGCCATCAAATATATGGGAGTAGAAACTAGGAAATAGGTGTGGAATATACAGATTTGAAGATCATTAATATATTAGTGCTTTTTAAAGAGACCACTGGACATACAATGTGAATGAGACAGATGTTTGGAACTTGCATGCTTGAAGCCATAAATGTGATTTAAACAGTCTTTCCAAGTGTACAGAGAATGAAGAGAAATTGTACTCTGAAATTTTAAAAAACTCAGATAGACAGAGGGAAAAATAAATAAAAAACTCCTTCATGGACTCAGCTTGCAGTCAGTGAAAAACAACACACTGCAGCCATAATTAATTTCCAAGTATCTCACCCTCCTCCTGCATTATCCAGGTAGCTGGCAAATATTTGGTAGGGACTCAATATACAACAGGTATTGTGCACACCTTATGACATACGATATTAAATTATAAGATTAAAAGAATTTCAGTCGATATATAAAATCATATAGAAAAAATAACTTTGGGGTCTAATTATAGTTTATTTTGTTAATTATCCACATAACAATACTCATTGGGAAAGGTCAAGAGGGCTTCAGAGGCTCAGAAAAGAAGCAAGTTAGAAAGACCAGATTACTGATACAAAGGCCCTATTTTATTAATTGCATTTAATTATTTAACAAAATTGTCATCTGAGAGTTAAAACAAAACTCCTTTTCTTGTTCAAACCATTTAGAGTTTACTGTGTGTGAGGCATTGGTCCTTATGCTTCATACAATATTAACAATCATCCTCATGAAGATACTACAGAATGGGTACCATTATTATCCCTAATTTACAGATCAGAAAATTGAAGTTGTTTTAGTAAGATAATATAACTTCCTTGACAAAATAAAAATAAAGTTTTATATTACCCTATTTCCCTGCTTAAGGCATAATTATGGACTAAGCAGTAGCTCAGCTTAGGCTTAGGGCCAAATCTCCACTAAAGCACAAGCATGTTCAGTGCATGCCTTTTTCCTATTTCAGTTCTCAGCACTTAGTTGACTGATGCATAGTAGATGCAACTAGATGCTAATGACTACGAAGGATGCATATATAGTTATTCTGAGCCGTTTCCAGGGCTTCCAAATGCAGCAGGTAAACAAAAGCATGAGCCACTGAGGGACAGAACATGTAAGTCAGAGTTGACCAGAATATGGTGACTTAATCACAGAGAAAAAAAAAAGAAAAAAAATTATTCAGCAATTACTTTCTTCTAAGAATTCTGTTAAGATGTTTAGTGAAAACTCTCACCTAAGCTTTAAAAGGGGAAGTATAACCAACTCTACTTAATGGGCAAAGAAACTATGGTTCAAATGGATTAAATAACTTATTCAGTGTTGTAGTGGCTCTCATGGAGCCAAAGCTTATTGTTATTTTATTTTTTCTGATACAGACAGGAGGCAGAGAAATACCAGATAGAAAAGGGTAGGGTCCCTGGCAAAGGCTCCACTCTCAAGCCTGGACCTGTGGCCCAAAGTGAGAACTACCCGTTTTCCTGCCTGAACATTGCCTTCTGGCTCACCCCACCCCCTATCCTGTGCCCATAAGACCCCCAAACCTGAGACTCAGCAGACACACATACACACAGAAGAGAGAAGCATCTGAACATCAAGAGGAGAAGCAGCAGCTGGATGTTGGAGACTATGGTCAGAGATGGGTTCAGCTGGGGATGGTCAGAGAGGATTCAGCAGGGGATGACTGAACTCCAGGGGAAGACCATCTTCCCATTCCATCCCCTTTCCAGCTCCCCATCTCACTGAGAGCCACTTCCACCACTCAGTAAAATCCATCACATTCACCACCTTCCAATTTGTTCATGTGACCTGATTCTTCCTGGATGCCAGACAATAACTCAGGTACCAAGAAGGCAGGGTGTCACCCTGGCCCTCCACCAAAGTAGTTAACACTTAGCCTTCCACAGATGGCAACTGCTAAAAGGCACTGATTGTAACATATGCACTCTGGGTCTCCACAGTTCACAGACACCACCTCCTGGACAGCAAAGCTTAAATAGCATTGTAATATGCTTGGATGCTGCTGTGGGGTTCGCACAGAGCCTGCTCCTGCCAGAGAGAAGCAACCTGCCGGTTCCAGCATTCATTCTCTCTGGTTCCTGCACCCTTCCGCTTGTGTGCTCCCTCCCATATGGGATTAAGTGCGGTGGCCGAGTAAATAAGCCACCCCCTTCACAAGTCCTGCAAAAGGGTCAAGGGAACTATTTCACCTCATTTTCATTGCAGCTTGCTACACTGCCAAATAGAATACATTCTAATGGGAGCAGATGTCCACTAGGATTTAAAGTCTGTTGCTAACAAGAAGATGCGTAATTTGACTTTTCTGATTAAAAAAGAGTTATCTTAGTAATTATCACTGTACATGCCATCAGCAGGACACCTGTCTTTTTCTACTTGAAAACTTAAGGCAGGTATCTGCAGTTTACTGAAATTGCCATGGGATGGTTGTAAATTTGAATATAAACACAAGTACACACACATATGCACATATGTACATTATACATATACTAACATATTCACAGGAAAGAAAAAATAGCTTCTCATATACGTATGTGACATGTATATTATATACATATAAATGTAAAAGCACACACACACACACACACACACACAGAGAAAAAAGAGAGGCCGAGGTATAGATATTTAAACTTACCTTGCCTACCATAGAAGAGAAATTTGTGTTTACTTCTAATTTAGCAATAGTACAAAAGAACAATTCACCCACGTGGGAATACTGCAAACATATTGCTAAGATCAGTCAGCCCTGAGGTGATTTTCTAAGAAAGTGCTGATCATGTAAGATAATACTGCTTGTGGAAAGCTTTAACTTATGTATTCAATTTATTTTCAAGTTAAAAGCAACTGCCCAAATGATCTGAATGTCAAAACCCAGTACAGAGTAAATGCTATTTTAGTGGTTCTGAGGTTAGCATAGCTTTGACCTCCTTATCTGCACCATAGTATTCTGATAGCTGTGTCATCAGTTCAGGACTGCAGAAAAACAAACTTCTAAATAGGCAGAGCTAGTTGTAATATGAGCCAAAGGTGTTAGAGGTGACATTTCCTCAGCATTAATCTTCTATACATTGCCATTCTGATTATCAACATCACAGATACCAACCGGGTTGGGAGAAAAAATCTTGCGGGCAACTTCAATTCATAAACTTAACCTATTTATAAACGAGACTCATTTAATTTAATTTCGCTACAAATACATTAACAACCATATCACCTGAGTTGCTACACACTTTGAGAGGCATAATAAATTTCAACATATAAACAAAATCTTATAAACAAAAAACAAAAAAAAAGCTCATTGAGCACAAAAGCACAAAAGATCAGTCTCATTAATTCATTTGAAGAATAAAAATAAATATTTAGGAGATAAATATTTAGGAGAAGAAAATCTCTGGGGCAGAATCCTAAGAAAAGGATTGACTGCTAGGTGACCTAGCAGATATTTTATCTCTAACTTCTTAGATGATATGACAAATGTATAATTAAAATTATGTATAATTACATAATGTACAGTATAAGTCAAATTATGTATAATTATAATTACATATGTATTATTAAAATGATATGTAATTACCTAATTATGATAACACATATTTCTGAGACATGTATTAATACAACCATATCAAATACTATTTTCTTTTATGGGAAAAATAACTATATCTTAAATTTTAAAAATTGCTTTCCATATATTCTATTTGTTGAGTTAGTAATAGGAAGTCAAACTTTAAATGTATATTTGAGTAGATGGGTGTTCTGATACATCCAAAGATTAAGCAAACTTCTTCATTTTCTAAATAAAATGAAATATTTTTCTTAATATGTACTAATTTTAATCTTAACTTTTTCCTGAAAATAGGTTTCAGTATTTTCATGGTACCTTAATAGAAAATATTAAAAGACAAATGCTCAATGTAAATACCTTATATTTCATTTTATAAACAATAGAATTTTTGGAGCTTTCTGACTCTCACTTCCTGTGTATGCTTCATTAGTCCCACAAACCTGATTGAAATTATTGTTGCATTTTATGGCTTAGGTATATTTCCGGTGTTTGAAAGAAAACAAAATGTGTCTTTTAATAACTTCTGCCTTTCAAGATCTTTGAAAAACAGTGGATTCATGGCCTGTACCTTGTTGCTCAGGCCCACCCAGCCAACACAACACACCTTATTCTCATCTTTGTGAAACTTAAATTTAGATTATGACTATGTAATCTTAGAAAATAAAAACGCTGAAAGAACTGCGTCTCTACTCAGAAAATGTTTCGCTTCTCAAAGATGGGTTTGCACATGCAAAAATAAATAAATAAATAAAAAATAAAAAGATGTAGGAGGCCAAGGCAGGCAGATCATGAGGTCAGGAGATTGAGACCATCCTGGCTAACATGGTGAAATCCCGTCTCTACTAAAAATACAAAAAAAAAAAAAATTAGCTGGGCGTGGTGGCAGACACCTGTAATCCCAGCTACTTGGGAGGCTGAGGCAGGAGAATGGCATGAACCTGGGAGGCGGAGCTTGCAGTGAGCCGAGATCGCACCACTGCACTCCGGCCTGGGTGACAGAGCGAGACTGCGCCTAAAAATAAAAAAAAATTAAAAAAATAAAAAAGATGTGCGCATTTGTAGCTAAATTTTCTTTACATACAAACTGGAAGTAGTTCAAATGTCCATTGTCCATGTAGAGATGAATACATAAATAAATGATTCATAAAATGGACTGCTGTTCAGCACTGATAGTAAGTTAATTATAATTGCAATATGGAGTATTGCAACAGAACAAATGTTGAGTAGAAGAAGCCAGAAATAAAAGAATACATGTATGACTCAATTTTCAGTGTGACTCAATTTTCACAAGGTTAAAATAGGCAAAATATACTTATGATGTAATAAATTAAGGTGCTGGTAGTAACACTATTTTTTTTAACTCCAGGGGCAATTTCACTCTTATCTTGATTCTGCAATAATTTCCTGAGCTGTGAATTTATGATTAATGAGCTCATTAGGATATGAATTATACTTCAATTAAAAACTCAAAAATGCAACTAAAAAAATCCACAAGGTAAAAGTCAATAATCAAAGTTAAATCACCAATGTTCAACCAGTAACATCCAGGAAGAAAGGTTAATTTCTTATTTTATGTCCTTAAAAAGGAAAAGAGCACAATTTGAGTAAAAAAATGCTGATTAAAAAAATTGAAATGTGCTTTCTCATATAATTTATCACTCTGGGCATGTAATACTCTAAAAATATTATAGTTAAAATATTTAAATATATCTTTTCGTACCAGTGTCAAGTATGAGATGATGTAGAAGAAAATAATTTAAAAGTTGTTTGGCAATTTCCTATAAGAAAAAATAAATAATCATGATGCAATGCACAACTTGTATTTTTCTCAAAATATATCAATGCTCTGTTTTCTAACTATTGCCTTTAAATTTTTTTAAACCATGGCACAACTGGGATTAACTCAAATATAATATGGAGATGGGAACACAAGTGTTCAGCATGATCTCTGCTTGGTTAGTGGGTTTCAAATGGTGTGCCATATGTCCAGGAAGACAATTAACTTTTTGTTTCAATGCCACTGCATAAAAGGAGGAAGGAGGAAGCAAGTAAGTCTAAAGCCCTGTCTGAGTTTATTAAGTCCTATGCCCTCAGTATTATATCTGCTAATTTGAACAAAGATAGCCTAGAGCTCAGGTTTGCCCTTGTCCATCCCCTCCTTTCAATCAGACAAAGAAGTGCTTAAAGCTCACCAGTAGTTCCCCTTTATCAATGGTAAACTCTACTTTCCGCTTTCTTTCTACAATGATAATTTTGTCTTTTTTTACTTTTCTCAATATCCCACCTCTCTTTCCACTCTAAACTGTTAACCTGATAGCATGCAGGCTCTGATACTGAAATTATGTCATCTTCCCATGGCCCATCTAAAATTCTACCTGCATTTGGACATCTCTGTCTCTTCCCTACCATTAAACAAAGTAAAGGGACACTCTGCATTCAAATGCCAGCATTCCTATACTTGTTCCAAATATCATTCCGTTTACTTCTTTTGTGGTTCTTGTTCTTTTTGGTTAACTTTTATTTTACCATATCTTCCTCTGCCTCTTTATGGGATTCTTAACTTTGATATTCAAACATGCCTTAGAAACATCTATATAAAAGACATAAACACAGAAAATACTTTTTCTCTAACCCATATTCCTCTTTTATCCTATACTCACATGCTCTTTCTTTCTTTTTCTATTCTTCTTCACAGAAAAGTTTCTTTGAAATGTTTGTTATTCACTCTTTTGACTTTGTAGGGAAGTTCAAACCTCCTCTCTGAAGGTTCACTTTTGAGTCTACTGAAATAAGCTGGCAGTAGACAGATTAACAGGAGAAAAGCCATAACAAATGTATTTGATCATAGTTTTATGTGACACAAAGTCTTCAGATTGAAAACTCAAAGATACAGAGGAAGCTATCTAATTTTATGCTTAGTTTCATAAGAGCAGGAAGAGCAGTGTAGCACTGCAATTGAACAGAAATGGTATGATCTCATGATAATAATATAAGGGTTGGACCTAGCAAGGCCTATCCATTCAGATTCTCCTTAGTCTGTGTGTGTTGCATTTCTTCCTTCTGGGATGAAGCAGGACCCTCCCTACATAAGGAATCTTGTGACCTACAATCAAACAAAGTAGGCCAGAGTATTTCTTTATGGCCAGTTTTACACAGTAAGGCAGGGAAAAGTTAGGGCGATATTTTAGGTTTTTATGCCTGGCTTTGGGGGAAAGGAGTTCTAGTTTCTATGACTCACCTGGGGAAGAGAAATTTTTGTTTCTATGGCTTGTCTCAGGGAACAGTGAGGGGTGAGAGACAGGAGGGCAGGAGAAAGTCAGAGGGAAACTTTGCTTCTGAGGCTGCTTCTGAAGCCTTCCTTTGGAGTACCATTTTCTGAGCCCCAGTAATGTTCTCAACTAAAATCTATACTACAATTCATTTCAATGTGGCTTCATGCTCTAAAATGTTCACTCAAAGACATGTTGTGAAGTCTTAAGTGACTTTCATGATATCCCAACCAATTTTTTAAATCCACACCTTCTTCTAGACATATTTGCATTTGGTCCATTAAGCAATTCCTTATTTTTCTTGGCTTTAATGGCATTAGGACCAGCTAAATAATTTATGAAACATGGTACAAAATTTAAAATGTAGAGTGTCTTATTTATAAAATTATTAAGTTTCAAAACCAAGATTTTTGTGGCTCCATATAGTTTTTAGAATTATCTTTTTATTTCTGTAAAGAATGCCATCAAGATTTTGATAGGAATTTCATTGACTCTATAGATTGCTTTAGGTAGTATGAACATTTAAACTATATTAAGTATTCCAATTCATATCTTCCCAATTATTTGTGTCTTCAGGTTCTTTTAAGAATGCTTTATAGTTTTCAGTGTACAAATAGTTTATCTTCTTGATTAAATTTATTCCTAAGTATTATTTTTTGTACTATTATAAATGGGAATGTTTGTTGCGGGAAGTCAGGGACCCCGAGTGGAGGGACCAGCTGGAGCTGCGGCAAAGGAACATAAATTGTAAAGATTTAATTTTAATATGGACATTTATCAGTTCCCAAATAATACTTCTATAATTTCTTATGCCTGTCTTTGCTTTAATCTCTTAATCCGGTTATCTTCATAAGCTGAGGATGTACATCACCTCAGGACCACTGTTACAATTGTGTTAACTGTACAAATTGACTGGAAAACTTGTGTTTGAACAATAGGAAATCAGTGAACCTTGAAAAAGAATAGAATAACAGCGATTTTTAGGGAACAAGGGAAGACAACCATAAGATCTGACTGCCTCTGGGTTTGGGCAAAAAGAGCCATATTCTTCTTCTTGCAGAGAGCCTATAAACGGACGTGCGAGTAGGAAAGATATCACTAAATGCTTTTCCTAGCAAGGAATATTAATATTAATACCCTGGGAAAGGAATGCATTCCTGGGGGAGGTCTGTAAATGGCCACTCTGGGAGTGTCTGTCTTATGCGGTTTAGATAAGGACTGAGATACACCCTTGTCTCCTGCAGTACCCTCAGGCTTATTAGGGTGGGGAAAAACTCCACACTGGTAAATTTGAGGTCAGACCCGTTCTCTGCTCTTGAACCCTGTTTTCTGCTGTTCAAGATACTTATCAAGACAATACGTGCACTGCTGAACATAGACCCTTATCAGTAGTTCTCCTTTTTGCCCTTTGAAGCATGTGATCTACTCCCTGTTCTTACACCCCCTCCCCTTATGAAACCCTTAATAAAAAATTTGCTGGTTTGAGGTTCAGGTGGGCATCACGGTCGTAGCAATATGTGATGTCACCCCTGGCAGCCCAGCTGTAAAATTCCTCTCTTTGTACTCTTTGTCTTTATTTCTCAGCCGGCCGACACTTACGAAAAATAGAAAGAACCTACGTTGAAATATTGGGGGTGGGTTCGTGTGATAAACGTTTTCTTGTTTTTTTTTTTTTAGATATCTTGTTATTAGTCTGTGGAAACCCTACTGATTGTTGTATGTTGATTTTGTGTTCTGAGACTTTAAAAAATTAGTTTATTTGTTCTGATAAGTATTTTTAAAAAATTTATAGGGTTTTCTATGTATAAGATTATGTCATCTGCAAACAGATCTTGAGCAAAAAATAAATAAAACAACAAAAAACCAACCAAACAAAAAAACCTGGAGTCATCACACTACTTGATCTTAAAACCTACTATAAGTCTAGAGTAATCAAAACAGCATAGTACTGCCATAAAAACAGACATGCAGCCCAATGGAACAGAAAAGAGGGCCCAGTAAAAAACTCATGCATTCAGAGCCAGTTGATTTTCAACAAAGGGGCTGAGAACATAAAGTGGAGAAAGGACAATCTCTTACATAAATGGTCTTGGAAAAACTGGATATTCTCATGCAGAAGAATGAAGTTAGACCCTGACCTCACAATTTATACAAAAATTAACTCAAAATGGATTAAACATTTAAACACAAGAACTGCAACTGTTAAACTACTAGAAGAAAAAATAGGGAAAAAACTTTGTGACATTGGTCTGGGCAAAGATTTTTTGGAAAAGGCACTAAAAAGTGCAGTTAACAAAAACAAAAATTGATATGGATTGAATGAAACTAAAAAGCTTCTCTATAGATAAGGAAATATCAGCATGAAAACAACGTCTGAAATGGGAAAAAATATTTGCAAACCACACATCTGATAAGATGTTAATATCCAAAATACATAATAAACATAAACAACTCAATAGCAAAATAAAATAACAACCCAATTAAAATAATGGGCAAAGGAACTGAATAAATATTTCTCAAAACAGAACATACCAATGGCAAATAGATGTATTAAAAAATGCTCAACATCACTAACCATCAGGGAAATGCAAATCAAAGCAAAAATGAGGTATCACCTCATATCTGTTATGATGGCTACTATCAAAAAGACAAGTGTTAACAAGTGCTTGCAAGGGTATGGAGAAAATGGAGATCTTGTACCCTTGATGGGAATGTAAATTAGTATAGCCATGATGAAATAAGTATAGAAGTTTCTCAAAAAATAAAAAAATAGAGCTACTATATCATCCAGTAATTACACTTCTGGGTGTATATCCAAAGGAAAGGAATCAGTATGTCAAAGAGATATCTGTACTTCTGTGTTCACTGCAGCACCATTCACAATAGCCAAGATATGGAATCAACTTAGTGTCCATCAAAGATGAAAGAATTTAAAATGTGGTATACATACCCATTGTAATGTTATTCACCTTTTAAAAAGAAGACAATCCTGTAATTTTAAATGACATTCATGAGGCTGGAGTACATTATGCTAAGTGAAATAAGCTAGACCCAAAAAGACAAATATTGCATGATCTCACTGACATGTGGATCTCACTAAATTTCATTGAGGCAGGAAGAATAAGTTCAGGAGATATGCTGAACAACATGGTAACCATAGTTAACAACAAAGCATTTTTATGCAGAAACCACAGAGTAGATTTAAATGTTCTCACAGCAAAAACGAAACAAAAGATTAATAAATGTGTGAGGTAATGGTTATGTTATTAGCTTAGTTTAGTCATTCCACAGTTTATGGATGTGGCAAAACATCATGCTGCACACCAGAAACATACACAATTTTTGTCAATTAAAACCAAATATTAAAAGTATATATATACATATGTATTTAATTATATGTACACACATATATATGTAAATGTGTGTGTCTGTGTGTGTATATATATATGTATACACACACATATATATAATTTGAAAATGGTAAAAAACAATTAAACCAAATGTGGGACCCTATGTGGCTGCACTGGTCATATGTCATGAAGCCAGCCTGAGATGGCATCAAATAATCTGGGTTCTCTCACATTTCATTGGCCACATGTCATTCTGTCTTCACAGTAGGGCTTTTGCTATGTGACTTTTAAATTGATGAGATATTTGTGGCTGGAATCTGAACTTCCCCAGAGTAACTTCATAATTTCCCATATTTCATATAGTAACTGTGTTCTTTCTAATTATTTCATAATTTATTACTCATTTCAACTTTATTTTAGGCCCTTATAGAGTACAGTCTGTTTAATATCTCTTTTTTTTTTTTTTTTTTTTTTTTTTTTTGAGACGGAGTCTCGCTCTGTCGCCCAGGCCGGACTGCGGACTGCAGTGGCGCAATCTCGGCTCACTGCAAGCTCCGCTTCCCGGGTTCACGCCATTCTCCTGCCTCAGCCTCCCGAGTAGCTGGGACTACAGGCGCCCGCCACCGCGCCCGGCTAATTTTTTGTATTTTTAGTAGAGACGGGGTTTCACCTTGTTAGCCAGGATGGTCTCGATCTCCTGACCTCATGATCCACCCGCCTCTGCCTCCCAAAGTGCTGGGATTACAGGCGTGAGCCACCGCGCCCGGCCATATCTCTTTTATTTTCTCAGCAAAATAGTTTATGAATGTTAAAAAGAAACAATGCCATCTAATCTTTCTCTAGTTATGCTATCATCAATGAGTAAAAGTTAACTTTATGTAATCAATTATCTAAGATATTTGTGCATAGACCTTATTACCTCTCTGTGTTTGGGTCTGGATTTTAAAAGGAGATATAAAGTAAGGAAAAAATGACCTATGATCATCTCCCTCCTCACTCTAAAATCGCAAGTGTTTGAACAATTACATAAATTCTCAGTAAAAACAAATAGTAGACAATAAGACTACACCTGGAGCCAATTAGAGATGCAAACAAATTCTGAGGGTATTTCTTTTTGGAATATTAACTGTTCATGCAGGTTATAAAAAGGATTTATGACACAATATCTAAGCCAGACATGATAATGAATGTTTATAGTCCCAGCTACTCGGGAGACTGAGGTGGGAAGACTGTTTGAGCTCAAGAGTTTGAGGCTGAAGTGAGGTATGCCATGCCACTGCATTCCAGCCTGGGCAATGGAGCAAGACCCTGTCAAGAAAGAAAACAAGAAAGAAAGAGAGCCGGGGAAGTTAGGGAGGAAAGATGGGAGGAAAAAAGGGAGGGAGGGAGGAAGGGAGGGACAGAGGGAGGAAGGGAGGAAGGGAGGAAGGGAGGAAAGATGGGAGGAAAAAGGAAGGGAGGGAGGAAGGGAGGGAAGGAGGAAGCGAGGGTGGAAGGGAGGGAGGAAGGGTGGGACAGAGAGAAAGAAAGAGGGAGGGAGGGAGGAAGGAAGGAAGGAGGGAAGGAAGGAAGGAAGGGAGGGAGGGGGGTAGGGAGGGAGGGAAGGGAAGGAAAAGAGACTACAATATCCAGAATGCTATATATTCACTTCTCTTCTGGAGACTTTCTCCCAAACTGGCAATTGGCAATTGGCAATTGGCAATTGTTTCATGTCTATGTGACTATAGAGACCCCCTACTTTTTTTCTCTAGGTTGTGGAACTTTGTGTTCATGCACACACACACACACACACACACACACACACACACACGCACATACCATATACTAACTGATACAATAAATTCCTATTTTTATTTGAGTATCTCAAAAGCACAATAACTACATCAAACAGTGTTTCCGCCTCTGTTCTTATTCAGAGATGTGGTCAATGCAGTTTGCTTAAGGATATAAGAGGAACATTGACAATTTAGGGCTACTGTCTAGTTTTCTCTTAACATTGTGAAATATGTACTTCCTATATCAAATCTGTCAAGCGTCAAATCTTTAGATCTGGTGTATAGAATATATATTGGATCATTTTTCTCTTTTTTATTTTAACATCCATCCTATTCAAATCTGCTATCATCCCTAACACAAACTATGTAATATCCTCTTAACTAACCTTTTATACTCTTCTGCACAATGGCCATTCTCTATAGATATTCTTTATAAGAAAAGCATTGTTTTGAAAATGTAAATTAAGTCATATTTCTTTTTGACAAAGCCTTTACAGATGGTTTCCAATTGACTTTGGCAAAAAAATGTAGACCTCAGCTGAAATCTCATTTTGATAAAGAGTTGTTCTAATCTAAATTAGTACAAAATCCATTTACTACATGTCATAATACTTCTATTTTTATTTTAGCATGCTATGTGTTTCAAATTGT
This sequence comes from Homo sapiens, assembly GCF_000001405.40. Taxonomy (NCBI): domain Eukaryota; kingdom Metazoa; phylum Chordata; class Mammalia; order Primates; family Hominidae; genus Homo; species Homo sapiens. Next base: position 88,439,720 of record NC_000013.11, read on the forward strand.
GTCTGGATTTTTTTTTGCATAATCATTTTTAGGTACAAATGCCCCTTATCTTACAATGGGGTTGTGTTCTGTTGACGTGTAATAAATTAATAAACCATATAACAAAACTTATTTTTAACAGCTCTTGCTTCAAGTGGGAAAAAAACACAATTTTTCTTATAGTGATGAATACACCCTGTTGAATTTAAATGAGTCACATATTTGTATAATATCCTGTCTTGAACTGAAGATGATACTTGCTTCTAATCAATGAAATATGGTGATGGTGATGATGGGGTGTCACTAACTTTATTAGATTACATTATATAACAATAGTGATAGGATATTACTTATTCAGGATGGAGAGAAAGGGCATACATCTGACCCTGAAGAAGTGAAAAATAGCCATGTGGTGAACTGCTTGTGGGAGGTTCAACAGGTTGGTGACTACACTAGACCTGTGGGATCTGTGGGCAGCCTACATTTAATAGTCTGTAATAATGTGGACTTTCAACCATATAGTCAAAAGGTAATAAACTCTGCCAATAACCTGAAAGAGCTTCAAAGCAGATTTTTCCCCAGAGCCTCCAGCTGAGAACACAGCCCAGTCAACAGTTTAATTGCAACTGTGTAATACTTCAAGCAGAGGACCCTTCTAGCTGTGCACAGGCTCCTGACTCAAGTAGATTATGAAACAACTAATGTGTGTTATTCTAAGCCACTCAACATGGTAATCTGTTACACAGCAATTGAAAGCTAACATTTTATGTATATCTAAAAATAATTTTTTTTCTTCTTATACTATTTAGCAGAAATTGCTAGAACATACAGGCTGTGATGGCTCATTTTATGTGTCGACTTGATTGGACCATGGAGTTTCCAGATATTTGCTCAAACATTAAACTAGATGTTTCTGTGATGGTGCTTTTGGATGAGATTAACACTTAAATTGGAAGACTAAGTAAGGTAGATTGTCCTCCCTAATGTGAGTAGGCATCAACCAGTTAATTGAAGGCCTGAATGGAACAAAAATACTAACTCTTCCCTGAGTTAAAGGAAATTCCTCCTGGCTGACTACCTTTAAACTGGAACATTCACTTTTTCTTTTCTTCAAACTTGAACTGAAGCATTGCTTATTCCTGGTTTTCAAGACTGCCAGCCTTTGGACTGGAATACACCACGGCTCTCCTAGGTCTTCTTTGCAAATGTACCTTGCAAATCTTGGGGCTCATCAGGCTCCATAATCATGTAAACCAATTTTTTATAGTAAATCTTTTGTGTGCATGTATACATATATATATTCCATTATTTTGTCATTTATATCCTATTATATACATATATATATATATCCTATATTTTTACCTATCTACTATCTGTTTATCTATCTGTATTCTATTCATTCTGTTTCTTGGAAAACTTTGACTGATACATATTTAAGTACCAAGAGTGGTTCTAGAATAATAAAATTTTAAAGATAAATTTTCTGAATTGGGTCTGGGGTTTCTGTAATTGGATATGTAATATGATAATACTTAAATATGCCAATAGCTCTATTTCCAGTAATAAGAAAGCTAGTAGTTCATGGTATGATGTGGCAATAGAGACTAGAAAAATATTACCATTGCACACTCCTAACCAACCACTTATAAATAAGGATCTGAGTAACTGTGTATATGATACTTTTAAACATTATTGTCAAACTAACAAATAAAATGGCATTGGCTGGTTGCTTCTAGAGTTTCCTGGACAAAATATGGAAATAAAATGATGAGCACAGTGAATTGAATTCCTGCCTCAAGCACTACATACATTACCTTAAAGCTTCTATGTGGGCCCTGATGGAGCCCCTTATCTCCTGCAGCTGCAGGGCTGATATTGCTAAAAATCAATTCTGAATGTCATCTTGCAACTGACTGAATCCCAATGAAAGTTAATGCCCCCACCTCTCAGAGTGTTTACTCTTAACATAAATACATTGATTGGGAAGAATGAAAAACTAAAAATTGAAATGGAGATATGAAAAGAAACTGATCAAGCTGGAGCCATTGAGTCTCTAGACTCCGATGAGTCCTTTTTGCCAGTGGAAGCAGCCTCTCCGCTCCCATCTGAGAAGATTAACCCTGCATTTGTTGAGGAACAGCCTTTCCCTGAGGTAGTTGCCATGAATTTTCCTGGTTCTTAGGCCTTTGGCTTTGGACTGGAAAGACAATATCAGCTCTCCTGGGTCTCCAGATTCCCAACTCACCCTGCCATCTTGCTATCTTGGTACTTAGCCTTCATAATTAAGTTAGCAAATTCCTTATAATTAACCAACAAATAAATAAATAAATAAATAAATAAATACTATATTGGTTCTCTTTCTCCGGAGACCCTGAATACATGTACCAAGACTATCAGTAAACTCTTACATTTATGATTTTATTCCTGATCATAGGTATAAATAATAAAAATGACTGAGGCTTGCTGGTTCTAACTTTGCACATCATGCCACAAATTTCACAAATTTAGCTAGCTTTCAGTATGACATCTGATAATAGATATTTTCTTGTAGCAACTGAACTAGGACAAAGAAAAGCCAATCTCATATTTTACACCAACTTCTAGTCAAATGTTAATGAAGTAAGTATATTTATGCATTTCATTTGTACTTATGGTAGAATGACTTCTACTTTACAGTAACAAATTAATGTGTTTATCCACCTGATGACTTGAAGTAGAAAGGTCTTTGCAGAGTATTTAAAATATAACTCCATATATATGGTCATTATATCTTTTTGATTACAGTTATAAAACTACAGTATTTACAGTATTCTAGTTTGCTGATTTTGTCCTGAAGCCTAGAATAGTTTGACTTTACTGTTTATGAAATGTTCTATTTAAAGGAATACTTCACTCTGTCTGAGATTTTTTTTTTATCATCTGCTTCTGTTTTTTTTTAATCATCACTTCCATAAAATGACTGATTAAAATTAGTCATTGCTGTAAGTAGCATTAGTTTCTGGAATCCTCCAGTATACTTCAAAATTAAAGTTCAGAAGGCAATTAGCAAACTCAGATTGTTTGTTTCATGTGATTATTTATAATACATAGAGGAAAAATAATAGCCAAATCTGGTTCTCTAGTAATTAATTATGTGTACATATTTGTATCTAAAGTATCTCCTGCTCCAAAGTTTGGAAATAATAATCAACAATAATCAACATGATATAATTCTGCACTTGAGTGGGTTAAATTAATTTACAAATAAGCTTCTTTTCCTTTAATGTATTTCAATTGATTTATCTTCAACAAATTATTATCCACATCCATGCATTTTCCACTGCTGCACTCTCAACAAACAAATACCAGCAGGGAACCACGGTATTTTGAAGGGGATATTTATTATTTTGCTTGACAATTATTATAATCCTATTTGCTGTATTTTTTCTCACTATTTTATTTCTTAGTCAACTTATATGATTCATTTCATTCCACATTTATTTCAAGTAAATGCCTTTATTCTGCATATTTCTTAACAATTTTTGATAATGGCCACCTTTTAACACTCCATATATTTTTACAAAATAACACTTGGAAAATTAGATTATGGATGATTAATGTTAAGTGATACATTTAGTATTAAATGTATATTAGAAAAAATTTTTGGCTATGAAAATTATTAAATGTTTTACTTAATTACAATTAGTATTAGTAATAATAATCAGTTATATTGTTTTTACTATGGCAATGAAATATAACAAATAAATTATCCTTTTTCCATCAAAAATAGGACTCTACATGCATTCAAAACATGCATTATGATTATTGGCAAACAAAATAAGTGTCCTTGAAATCAAACATTCTTCACTGCAGTTCAAGTCACTTGATACATTGCTAACGTATCAGATAATTAAATGGACACATAAGTACTAGCTATTTAAAGCAACTTTGGATAATAGATTTATTGAGTATGTATAAAATACCAGATTCATGGAGTAAAAAACAAACACATAGTTCAAGGAGAGTAAGGAGAATATTTGATACCTAAGTTGTTATCTGCAAGTAATCTGCATTTTGTAGTCAGTTGTCAAATTTGATTAATTGTGAGTTCAGAGGACAGTCAGTACACAGCAGCCTTCATTAGATCCAGAAATTTTCTATGCCCTTCACCAATAGTTGGAATGGTTCTGCTTACATATTTGACTTCTGCATTTTATATATATTAGAAGCCTCATACACAGAGGCACAGTGAATTTATTTATTTTTTCTCACGGAGAAGAAAGAATAGTACAAGAAGCAGACAGTTACAAACATCCATTAACATCTCCAGTGATCTCACAATCATTTTTCAAGAGAGGTAATTTCAAATTGATTTTAATAACTTGAAACAATATTCACCATAAAACACATTTTCTTTTTATTATTATTATTATTATTATTTTACTTTAAGTTTTAGGGTACATGTGCACAATGTGCAGGTTAGTTACATATGTATACATGTGCCATGCTGGTGTGCTGCACCCATTAACTCGTCATTTAGCATTAGGTATATCTCCTAATACTATCCCTCCCCGCTCCCCCCACCCCACAACAGTCCCCAGAGTGTGATGTTCCCCTTCCTGTGTCCATGTGTTCTCATTGTTCAATTCCCATCTATGAGTGAGAATATGCGGTGTTTGGTTTTTTGTCCTTGTGATAGTTTACTGAGAATGATGGTTTCCAATTTCATCCATGTCCCTACAAAGGACATGAACTCATCATTTTTTATGGCTGCATAGTATTCCATGGTGTATATGTGCCACATTTTCTTAATCCAATCTATCATTGTTGGACATTTGGGTTGGTTCCAAGTCTTTGCTATTGTGAATAGTGCCTCAGTAAACATACGTGTGCATGTGTCTTTATAGCAGCATGATTTATAGTCCTTTGGATATATACCGAGTAATGGGATGGCTGGGTCAAATGGTATTTCTAGTTCTAGATCCCTGAGGAATCGCCACACTGACTTCCACAATGGTTGAACTAGTTTACAGTCCCACCAACAGTGTAAAAGTGTTCCTATTTCTCTACATCCTCTCCAGCACCTGTTGTTTCCTGACTTTTTAATGATTGCCATTCTAACTGGTGTGAGATAATATCTCATTGTGGTTTTGATTTGCATTTCTCTGATGGCCAGTGATGATGAGCATTTTTTCATGTGTCTTTTGGCTGCATAAATGTCTTCTTTTGAAAAGTGTCTGCTCATATCCTTTGCCCACTTTTTGATGGGGTTGTTTGTTTTTTTCTTGTAAATTTGTTTGAGTTCATTGTAGATTCTGGATATTAGCCCTTTGTCAGATGAGTAGATTGCAAAAATTTTCTCCCATTTTGTAGGTTGCCTGTTCACTCTGATGGTAGTTTCTTTTGCTATGCAGAAGCTCTTTAGTTTAATTAGATCCCATTTGTCAATGTTGGCTTTCGTTGCCATTGCTTTTGGTGTTTTAGACATGAAGTCCTTGCCCATGCCTATGTCCTGAATAGTCATGCCTAGGTTTTCTTCTAGGGTTTTTATGGTTTTAGGTCTAACGTTTAAGTCTTTAATCCATCTTGAATTAATTTTTGTATAAGGTGCAAGGAAGGGATCCAGTTTCAGCTTTCTCCATATGGCTAGCCAGTTTTCCCAGCACCATTTATTAAATAGGGAATCCTTTCCCCATTGCTTGTTTTTCTCAGGTTTGTCAAAGATCAGATAGTTATAGATATGTGGCATTATTTCTGAGGGGTCTGTTCTGTTCCATTGATCTATATATCTGTTTTGGTACCAGTACCATGCTGTTTTGGTTACTGTAGCCTTGTAGTATAGTTTGAAGTCAGGTAGCATGATGCCTCCAGCTTTGTTCTTTTGGCTTAGGATTGACTTGGCGATGCGGGTTCTTTTTTGGTTCCATATGAACTTTAAAGTAGTTTTCTAGACAAAATTTGCAATAAAGCTAGCTACAACAAAATGGAGTGCAAGTACTAAAAGAATTAGCAAACATGCATTGGAGGATAACCCCAGAGTCACCAAAGGGTAAAGCACACAGCATGCCCTTGGTAAGAGTACTATTTCTCAGTTTCTTTCCTTCTTTTTTCATTTTTTTGATACAGGGTTTCACTCTGTCACCCAAGCTGGAGGGCAATGATACGACCATGGCTCACTGCAGCATCAAACTCCTGGGCTCAAGTGATCCTCCTGCTTCACCTTCCTGAGTAGCTGGGACTACGAGCTTACACCACCAACTCTGGCTAATGTTTATTATTTTTTGTTTGGTAGAGACAGAGTGTCCCTATGTTTCCCAGGCTGGTCTAGAACTCTTAGCCTCAAGTGACCCTCTCACCTTCACAGCCAAATTGCTGAGTTTACAGGGTTGAGCCACTGCACCCAGCCTCATCAGTTTCATAATAGGTCAATGTGTATTCCTCAGTATTCTTCCAGTCTTAATTCATGAGCATCTGATTTCTCTCCTATGATATTTGAAAATTGTCATTTTTTTCACTTATTAAAAATACTTTAAAAATTATACCACTAAAACACTATTAGGCATTCTTTGGAATATGCGTTCATCTTTCATATTTTTGTGAAAATAAAGATAAATTTTGTTGCTGTGCATAGATAGAAACAGTGCTGCAGATAAATACCTGAGCTTCGTGTTCCAGCTCTTCCAGGTACTCCGTGTGATCTGGGACAAGTTACCTAGATATTTGAATTTGTTTAAAAACAACTATAATATGGGGCAGTATCTAAATCACAGGTTGGTTTAGATACTTTCTAAATCACAGGTTGCTAGACAGTAGAATCTAAATCGCAGGTAAGTACACAGTAGAATTTAACTCTTTTTTTTTCTTTTTTTTTTTTGAGATGTCTCCCAAGCTGGAGTGCAATGGTGCAATCTCCACAATCTCCACTCACTGCAACCTCTGTCTCCTGGGTTCAAGCGATTCTCCTGCCTCAGCCTCCCTAGTAGCTGGGATTACAGGCACGTGCCACGACTCCCAGCTAGGTGGTTGTTTTTTTTTTTTTTTTGAGACGTAGTTTCACTCTTCTTGCCTAGGCTGGAGTGAAATGGTGCGATCTTGGCTCACTGCAACCTCCGCCTTCTGGGTTCAGGCGATTTTCCTGCCTCAGCCTTCCTGAGTAGGTGGGATTAGAGATGTGTGCCGCCACATCCGGCTAATTTCGTATTTTTAGTAGAGTCAAGGTTTCTCCATGTTGGTCAGGCTGGTCTCGAACTCCCAACCTCAGATGATCCGCCTGCCTCAGGTTTCCAAAGTGCTGAGACTACAGGCGTGACCCACTGGGCCCGGCCTTTTTTTGTATTTTTAGTAGAGATGGGGTTTCACCATGTTGGCCAGGCTGATCTTGAACTCCGACCTCATGATCTGTCTGCATCGACCTCCCAAAGTGCTGGGATTACAGGCATGAACCACAGCGCCTGGCCCAGAATTTAACTCTTGATGTTACTACAACTCAGTGAAAAATAGGATATAGTCCTAGCCCTTATGGCTCTTACATCTTAGTGAGAGACAAACATTTAAATAGCCAATTGTATGTAATTGTTTGCAGGTGCCAAAAGGGTGATTCAAATGGTGTCAGGCCAGTACTCAGACCTTGAGAGACACCATTAATAAAAGTGCTTTTTCTTCATACCCTTTACTACCATCATCAATGTTGTTTAACCCATATTACCTTATTCTTTTTTTTTTTTTTTTTTTTTCAGACAGAGTCTCCGAGTCTTGCTCTGTCCCCCAGGCTGGAGTGCAGTGGTGCTATCTCCGCTTACTGCAAACTCCGCCTCCCGGATTGAAGGGATTCTCCTGCCTCAGCTTCCCGAACAGCTGGGACTACAGGTGTGCGCCACCACGCCCTGCTAATTTTTTGTATTTTTAGTAGAGACGGGGGTCTTACTGTGTTATCCAGGATGGTCTTGATGTCCTGACTTCTTGATCTGCCTGCCTTGGCCTCCCAAAGTGCTGAGATTACAGGTGTGAGTGACCGTGCCCAGCCCATATTACCTTATTCTTACAGTTACACCCTCCAATTGTCATGACTTTTTTTTTCCTCAGGACATACTGGATATATCTGTAAGAATAATATTCCCATGGTAAAGCTGTTTGCTAAAAATAAACCTAAAATTCAAAATCCTTGGATTGACATTCAAAGGCAATTCATTTTAAGTTAACTATTATTTCAATTAACTACTCCAACACTCTATATTGGAGTAGTATATATAATCTTAATGCAGAATTCTACTATCCAGAAATTTGAGTAATTTAATATTATTTGATGAGTATCCTGTTTTCTGATTGCCACAACCTTGCTAATTTTTGTAACAAGCAAAAATAACACATACTATATTTCTAAGATTCAATTTAATATCTTCTTAGATCAATTCAGATAGAAGTTAATGTTCCATTCTCTAATCTTATATAAGATTCAAACATCTTCCCCAGTATCACAATTTATATTATAGTTGTTTTTATTTTTATTTCTATTCTTATATTTCAAATTACAGAATCTCTGTATAAGTACTTTTTTTTGTTGTTTTTTGAGACAGAGTCTTGCTCTGTCGCCAGGCTGGAGTGCAGTGGCACGATCTCAGCTCACTGCAACCTCTGCCTCCCAGATTCAAGCCATTCCTCTGCCTCAGCCACTATGCCCAGCTAATTTTTTGTATTTTAGTAGAGGTGGGATTTTACCATGTTGGCCAGGATGGTCTTGATCTCCTGACCTCGTGATCCGCCTGCCTCAGCCTCCCCAAGTGCTGGGATTATAGGCCTGTATAAGCACTTTACAAAAAAAAAAAAAAAAATTCTTACTATAAAACATAGGAAGCCAGATACAGTTCTTATATAGTTTTTTGTTCGTTTGGTTGGTTGATTTTTTTCTGAAGGTACCTGGCTAATTAAGAGTCCTAAAGTAAGGACTTTGAGATTGGAGCTGACATCATGGTTAATACAATATTTAATTGGGTTAGATTTCCTTTGTACAATGCTGTGGACTGAATATTGATGTTCCCCCCAAATTCATACATTAAAACCCTTAATAACCAGTGTGATGGTATTTGGAAGTGGGGCCTTTGGGAGATAATTAGGTTGTAAGAGTAGAACCAACATAATGGGATTAGTGTCTTTATATGAGAAGATACTAGAGCACTTCCTCATATTCTGTCTCTCTTTCCGATTCCCCCTCATACAGCAGGAAGGTGCACATCTGCAGACAAGGAAGAGAGTCCTCTTCAGGAACTGAATCAGCTGAAACCACGATCTTGGACTTCCTAGCCTATGAGGAGTAAATAACCTTTTCTTTAAGCGTCATAGTCTACAATATTTTTGTTATAGCAGCCCAAGCTGACTAAGACATACAATGAATTTTCAATGTAAGCATCAAGCTGAGAGTTATTTTTTCTGAAACATTACCTGAAGTTCATCAGTAGAATCATGGCTAACTGAGCCTACTAATAGTGTAAGAAATTATCCAAAAAGCAATAAGGCCTAAATTCAGAAAGCTGAAATTTATATTATGCTTTTGGTTATAACTCTGATTTTAAACATAGAAGCAGCTTAACAGAACATGGGTGTAGTTTGTTTTTTTTTTTTTAAAAAAAAAAAGGAATACTGAATCAGCCAGGCTTGAGTGTTTATTCTAACTTTGCTACTCATGAGGTGTATTACCTTGACTATGTGGCTTAATGTCTATGGACTTCAATGCATTTTTAAATTTATTATTTACATATATGGTTTCCAAAAATTACATTACACAAAGATTTGCTTAGAAAATAATATATGGAAAATATTTCAATATTCATTAAACTTACGTTTAAAAAGTTTCTTTAAAGTAGTGGATAATTTTGCCAAACTGCAAACGTTATCTTCAGGCCTATACATAAAATCTCAGCACTCAGGAAGTATAGGTCCAGGAAACACATAGTTTAAGCTAAATGAAAGGAATAGGCATTTTGTAAATATTTTTATGAGACTTTAGATATGTTGGTGGTGGTGGTATTGTTTTGTGTCTGCATGAATAACTGAAGTAAATTTTGCCTACTAGAAGTCAACAAAGAAAATCACATAGACATACTGAGTGAAGTTTTTCTTCCAAACTAAGAGAACCTGTTATTACCTAACATTGTCTCATTATGTCTGAATCGCCCTGCCTCCTTCATTCATCTCCTCCAGTTCATAAATATATTCCAGCATCTTTTCATTTCTCTCCCTATGAATTTCTGAAAAAGATTACCTTCAGTGAAGTTGTCATGGAAGAGTAGGGAACCATCCAGCAATAATACCTATGTTTAAGCATTGATAGTCCAAAGACAATCTCTGTATGTCTCCTATGTTCCTAAATGATCCCACAGGTATTAGTACAGGAAAGGTGAGGTAAGTCTCAAAGGAATAAGATTTTATTTGAAGCAAAATAAATGCCATAAACATTTGATTATTTTAAGACAAAATAAGCTTGATGTCAGTAGGAAGCTAAAAGGATCACATTGTACCTGTTCATTGTTGAAGACTTCTTCCAGTGAATATTTTTTCCAAATTTATTTGATTTATTCATAAACCATATTTCCTTTGTAAACATTTTTTGTAACCGTCAAGCTATCTTCAGCTTTCTCTGAGTCACTGCTACCCTTCCTTGAGTTTAAGTTTGTTGCCAATGACTACATTAAAACCTAATTATTGTAGAATACAATGAATTATAATAGCTTCTATTAAAATAAAATGTAAATAACCCATCCCATACACATTGCAATTTGACTTCTTCCTGAAGTAGTCATTGACAAAATAGAATGTGTGTCAGGAAAGCATACCCTTTAGACCTATGCTGAAATCAAAAGAACGCAAGTATTTAACAAGGGAAGAATTAAGGTTTTAACAGCAATGCTTTGTCTAGAGGGAATTCTAGTATTGTGAAGGATATCCAGGGAGACAGCGATACAAATACAACAAGTTGACTGAAGTTTGTAAATTAATTTAGCAATTGCTATGACAAAGCTGCAGGCATAGAGCTAGCTAATAAAATGTGTCAATCATGTAGCCTTTAAATAAAAGTGCAAGGAGCAGCTATGGTAGACTGTAATGGTCCTGCAATATTTAATCTTTTTTTCCAGACATGACCTTGTATAATAAATCCCAGGATGTTTTCTGGGAAAGGAGAACTTATTACAACTACACAGCTGTCATATTTATAGTACTTTGCTTTCTATTTTACTTGTATATTTAATGTTTTTGAATTGTTTAATTAAGTTAATATGATAATAAAACCATTTTAGACAGAGATAAAAATACACACATTTAGGCAGCAGATATAAACAAAGTGCTACATTTTCCACAAACTATATCAGGTATGATTTCCTCTGTATATACATAAAAAACAGTTATCCACCTAGGAATATGAATAACCATAAATTTAAAAAGAATCAAATTCATACACTTAGCAATTTAACAAAACAAATATGCATTTTGGCTTTGCTTCTACTTCAATAAAACTTATAGAAGTGAAGATTAAGTTATGGCCTGATTTGTTTTCAATCTAAATTAAGCTTTCATATTTTCTACAATAAATGTTACATTTACAACACAAAAGATAAGATAAATGTGGCTGCCACCTGCAAATCATTGTGTTTTAAAATAGAGTCCCATCAGGATAAAAATAAAATCTTTAGAATAGTTTTAAATATAGCAATTACTCATACACACATAAACAAAGACATATTCACACAAATATGTATGTTCATGTGTAAGAAACACATGCCCCAGGAACAATCTTGGAAAGTTTCTATTAGTAAAGTAACAACCATGTTAACAGTCTTTTTTGTTTTTATGCCAGAAAATAATATGATCTCATTTAGAAACAGTTTAATTTTTCAGGTCTGAATCTCAGAATTTCAGAGTTTGAATGTATTTTAATAGGCATTTAAGGCCGGGTGCAGTGGTTCATGCCTGTAATCCCAGCACTTTGGGAGGCTGAGGCGGCCTGATCACCTCAGATCAGGAGTTCAAGACCAGCGGGCCAATGTGGTGAAACCCTGTCTCTACAAAAATACAAAATTTATCCGGGAGTGATGGCAGGTGCCTCTAATCCCAGCTACTCGGGAGTCTGAGGTGGGAGAATTGCTTGAATCCAGAAGGCAGAGTTTGCCGTGAGCTGAGATCGTGCCATTGCACTCCTGCCTGCGTGACAGAGCAAGACTCTGTCTCAAAAAAAAGGCATTTAAAACATGTATACTGCCAACCAAGAAGAGACAAAAGACCAAAGGCAAAAAGTGCCTAAGATAAGGTGTTTATTGGGGTCTTAGAAATTACAATCTGGGACATACAGATTTGATTAAAGCCAAATTGTGTTCTGCAAAAGGAAGGAGATTAGGAATATTTAAAAGAACCCTGATGGTGTATGACAGGTTTTTTTGAAAGAATTATCATTGGTGGAGGTGGTTAGTTTAGTATGAGTCCATACTTCATGATTGTTGCTGTTCAGGAATTGCAGTGCTGGTGAAATTTAGCTGTTGTCCAGAATGTTGTTGTGGTGATACGGCCCAGTTGAAATACTCAAGGCAAGCTACAGTTTTGCAAGGTCATGCAGGGAGTCCTTCTTAGAATGGCTTCCAGGCTCCATTTTAGAGCTCTGAACCACGGATGCCATTTTGTATATAAAATTTTACAATACATTGTGGAATGGCTAAATTGAGCTAATCAATATATTCATTCCCTCACATAATTATCCTTTTTTAATTGTTAGAAAACTTTACATGTACTCTATTTGTAGTTTTCAAGTATACAATTTTAACTGTAGTCACCACATTGTACAATAAATCACTTGAACTTATTCCTCCTAACAGAAATTTTGTATCATTTAACCAATATCTTCCCACACCCCCAGACCCTTTGGGCATTCCATAATGTATACATATTTCAAAACAACAATGTTGCACAGAAGAGATATATATACATTTTTGTTTTTCAATTAAAACAAATCTGCACCTGTGAGAACCTTCAGTGGGTTGAGCTGTGCTCTGAGATGAGAACTCCTGATTTTACACTGTGTTATTTCTTGTATTCATGGAAAAAAGCAATATACTATATGTTTTAATTTTTTAAAAGACATTCAATCTAACTGCCTGCCTAGTGTTTGAGTTGATTGTACCATATTAACTTCAGAGAGATCAACTTGCTTTTTCTGCTTCACTGTATCTCAGAGCCACATCGTCCATCATCTTTTGTTGTTTTGTTTTGTTTTGTTTTGTTTTGTTTGAAACAGAGTCTCACTCTTCACCAGGCTGGAATGAAGTGGTGCAATCTCAGCTCACTGCAAGCTCCGCCTCCCAGGTTCAAGGGATTCCCTTGCCTCAGCCTCCCGAGTAGCTGGGACTACAGGCACATGCCACCACACCCGGCTAATTTTTTTTGGTATTTTAGTAGAGACAGGGTTTCTCTGTGTTGGCCAGGATGGCCTTGATCTCCTAACCTCGTGATCCACCCACCTCGGCCTCCCAAAGCGCTGGGATTATAGGCATGAGCCACTGCACCCGGCCTCCATACAACTTTTAATGTTGAACAATTTTTACTTGAAGTATGCCTCCTTTTCCACATTTGTTATTTTAATTAGATTAACATCTGGTCATAGCCCTTTTTGAATCTCCGTTCTCTTTATTATTTAATATGTATAATTATTTAATATGTATCTTGAGATATAGAGCTAGAAAACAAGACTACTATTTGTCCTTTTCTAAATTGCAACCAGTATGACATTTTAATAGCTGTGATTGAAAAGTGTAATGGACATAAGCGCCTCTGGTTTGTTTGTTTATGAAACAGAAATATATGTATGTGTGTTTGACTGTGTTTGTGAATATGAAGATAAAACAGGGTAGTTCTATGGACCCCTTCATGGTACTTGTGAAGAGGTTGACTCATTTACGCAGTCCACAGCTCTCAACCCCTCATGGGAACGGGAACACGCAGGTGAGTGAGTGCAGCAGCCAGGATGAACTCCAAGTGGCCCTGCAGCAGCATCTAGAGGGATACCCATGACCCCAAACACCCAGCATGTATTAGCTTTGCCATCCACAGATGGTTTCAGTGTTTAACAGCTCAGTGGAGGGTCAGGGTGACAGCCTTTTGCACCCTCCATCTTGGTATCTGAGTTCTTGTCCTGGCATCCAGGACACATGAATGGACTGAAGGGTGGCGAATGTGTAGGATTTTATTGAGCAGTGGAAATGGCTCTCAGTGGGATGGGGAGCTGGAAAGGGAATGGAGTGCAAAGGTGGTCTTTCCTGGAGTTCGGCAGTCTGCAGTCAAACTCTTCTCCAAAGTCTCACTGTCAAGCCATTCCTCTGAAGTCAAGATGGTTCTCTCCAATGTCTGGCTGCTTTTTCTCCACTCTCCCTCTCTTCTCCTCCACTTTTCCACTCTGTTGTGCTGGTGCCCCTCTGCCAGTGGAGCCTAGGGTTTTTATGGGTACAGAATGGGGGGTGGGATGGGCCAAAAAGCAACATTCAAGTAGGAAAACAGGAATGCATGTTCTCACTTTGGGGCATTGTTCCACGCTTGAGGGTGTGGCCCTTACTGGGAACCACCTTCTTCTACCCAGTATTTCTCTGCCTCCTGTGCATATCAAATATGCATAAATATATATGTCTGAACCCTTCTTCAAAAAAGCTTAATATATTTAGATGATAATTGGCAGAGAAGGTTTTTATTACCTAATGTCAAGTGGCCTGAAAATTATTCATAAGTGGTACTTATTTGCACTAAGTATCTCTGATTCATACTTACACATGTAATGGTGTACATCTGAAGGCATAAGATATCATTTAACTTTAATAGAGAACATACACATATCTGAAGATATAAGATATCATTTACTTTAATAGAGAACACACACATTTTCCTTTTTACTTTCCTATCTTTTATTTGCCTGATAAGGTTCATTGTGCAGTCTTGGCCTTACTGTGAATTCCCACCAAACCCAGCCAGAAGATTAAATATAAACTCTGACACAAAAACATTGCCTCCTTTTTATCTCCCACTGAAAATAATAGAATGCTGAAGTTATATTCTTGTCCTCTAACATCAGACTGCCTGGGTTC
The DNA here is from genome assembly GCF_000001405.40 of Homo sapiens. NCBI lineage: Eukaryota > Metazoa > Chordata > Mammalia > Primates > Hominidae > Homo > Homo sapiens. The sequence goes on from NC_000013.11 coordinate 88,454,785, forward strand.
GAATACTAGTTCTTAGCCTCTTTTATTCTTAACCTTACTGTGCCTCAGTGTCCTCAATGGTATAAAGTAATGCTATTGGCACCCAATACATAGGGTCATTAAGAGGCCATGATATGCTTAACATATGAAAAATGATACTCAGTATAATATCTGGTACATGGTAATCTCTCAGTAAATATTGGATTTTATCCTTAAGTCATCTTCTATTGATATTTTATTTTATGGTTTCTCCAAGTATTTCCTAAAATACTATCACTTGTGATATAGGTGAACAGGAACCACTTCCCTTATTTAAAATATGATGAAATATTACTCTGTGAAAGATGAAGGGATGTGTTTTATTTCTTCTTTAGAAAGGAAGAACCTACATCACTGGAGATGAAGGTAGAAAGTGATTGAAAAAGGATGCATCAGGGAAATGAAATTATATTTCATATTTTTTTAAAAAAGCAATCAGAATTACCATGTCTGATTCCCAAGAAGAAACAACAGAGTAAAGAAAATCTCCTAAAGACAGACCCACATCAAGTTTGACAAAAACCTGTATATTCAATATGCAAAGTTTAGAGCAATAAAATAGCATAATTGTGGAGGGAAAGGAAAATACTCTGAAACCAAAATGTTGGAAATTCACGCTCGTTATACTGACTTCTCTTTAGTCGTGTGACCTAAATTGTTCCTGTACTTTACTTCCTTTATCTATATAGTGAAGAAAATAATGTTTATATGGGAAGTAAGTTAACATTTGTAAAGTGCCTGGAACAGTGACTGGCATAAGGTAAGTGCTATGTATGTTTTTGTTAAATAAATAAGGTGAAAGGGAAACTGATTTTAAAAGTGCTAGGACTAGTTTTCAATTAATTTTGTAATATGAATCATGGAATTTGGATTATAGGCAGTTGGGAGATTTTGGACAAAATTTCTCAGTAATTAGCATAAATTAGCATAACAGAAGTTGTGGAATGCATGAAACAATACAGAGCCTCTACTCTACAGATATTCTAACTCAAATGAGAAGTGGTTTGGGCCTGGCACAGTGTTTCACACCTGTATTTCCAGCACATTGGGAGGCTGAGACAGGAGGATCACTTGAGCCCAGGAGTTCAAGACCAGCCTGGGCAACACAGTGAGAGCCCATCTCTATTAAAAAAAAAAAAAAAAAAAAAAAAAAAGAGAGGGAGAAATGGTATGAATCAGGAATCTAAATATCAGCAAATACTAAATAGTTCTGATCCTGAAGGTAGATCAGTATTTTTAGAAAACCTGCTCTGAGATCACATGAACCAAGTTATACAGCTAAAATCATTGTATTTATTTTTCTTTTTTCCCCTATTTCACAACAGCTGGAGTTTATTTTTCAAACAGTAAAGAAGAAAATTGAAACATTCTGCTACAGAAAATACTTCTCTTTTTTTCCCTTAATATAATCAAGTAGTTTTCAGCTTTGTGGATTTTTGCCAGCTGTGTTTAGCAGAGGGTAAATCTGACCATGAATAAAAAAAGAAATACTTAGAAGGGTGGAATCCCTCTTCCACTCAAGCTGAGAAATATAAATGTGACCTCCTCCAAGTTGTAGTTGAAGCGGAAAGTGACTTTACGGCTTCACAACTGATAAACAACAAGGGGAAGTACATGCTGCTGCAGAGACTTGACGGCCCTAATCAAGAGGGCACAGATACCTCCAAACCAGGCTGAGCCACCAATGGCAAGCATTTCACTGAAAAATAATTGTTGACTCCCAATAAAGATTTTTCTGTCTCTTGAACTTCCAAACAAGCAAGTTTTTGGAAATATCATAAGAAATATATTTGCTTTTTGAACAGCGCTTTCAGAATTTTTGAAAAATAGGACAAATTTGTGGCATAAATTTATTTTAAGAGTATTTGTTGGCTTTGTGCAGTGGCTCACCCCTGTAATCCCAGCACGTAGGGAGCCCGAGGCGGGCAGATCACAAGGTCAGGAGTTCAAGACCAGCTGGGCCAACATGGTGAAACCCCATCTTTGCTAAAAAAAGATACAAAAATTAGCCGGGCATGGTGGCATGCACCTGTAATCCCAGCTACTTGGGAGGCTGAGGTGGGAGAACAGCTTGAACCTGGGTGGTGGAGGTTGCAGTGAGCTGAGATTGCAGCACTGCACTCCAGCCTGGGAGATAAAGCAAGACTCCATCTCCAAAAAAAAAAAAAAAAAAAAAGTTTTTGTTAACCACAGGGATTATAAAATGCATGCAATATTACATCTTGAACTGCACATAGTTACTGAAAAGTTATGTCTCCAAAATATTTTCACCTCCTCCAGCTGCTGAACCTGGAATTAAGTGCTTTTCTGGATTCAGTTCTCAGATTTGTTGTTGAAAGAACTCTACTAAGTGAAATGTACTCATTTGTCTCTGCTTCAGGAAACTCTAGTTTCTCACAATAGCCAGTCTTTCTAGAGACTTGCACTGTGATCTAATGAACTCATAGTCAATACAATTTCTCACATGCAAGATATTAAATCCCTGTGTGTTTGTGTATAAACCATGGTTCCTCCTGAACAAATTCTTCCTCATTCCAAAGCATGAAATGGGGAAAGACTTAATCTACTTTTTGTTCTAGTTCTCTAATTCTCTCTTTCTCTCTCTTCTTTCTCTCTTTTTCAGAACGATTCATTGATTGCAAAACACACTATAACATTATTGCCTCATACTGTGTACTAATGCAGAGATGGGACTTATATTTACAACTTTACTTTCTAGACTCACTTCCCAGGTTAATTAATCAACCATGGGTGCCTTAGCTTCTTGGGACCCTAGCCCTTCCTCAAGTTAATCTGCTATTCCTAGAAAGAATTATAGTGTTAAAACCCCGACTGGTCCCTGTTAATTTCTGCCTGTCAAAATTATACCCTTCCTGTGATGCCGTCTTGTATTATTATCCTTTAACACTTGGATCTTGAGCCAATTCTGTTCTTTATCACTTTAGAACACTGCAGCAACTATTGGCATTTACCATTATCTGCTGAAAATATATAATACTCTCTGCCTTTTGTTCACTTACTTGTATTAAAATATTTCCTAAAATTGGAATTATTCTATATTACTTTCTTTTTATCCCCAGTTTGTCTTTGAGTACACATAAGTGGTAAGTACATATTCATTTAAATGCATTTGATTTACATTTATACATCATGCTATTATTTTAAATGTGTGACTTCAGTTGTGCCAACTCAAGCAAAAACATATTCTTATACTTGAAAATGAAATGTAAATACAATTTATGCATACATATACCTTACAGAAATATAAGATAAATACATGGAAAGTTATGTAAGAAAAAATTTGTTTTATTATTAAGAATAGATAGAAAATTACCCTGGATTTTAATTAACAAATTGAACTTCACTTTTGTGACTGAATTAAAAAGATTGCTCAATTTACGGTAGTATTGAATTGAGGTTGCACAGTTGCATACTTTCTCATAGTAATGATGATAGGTGAATTGCAGAGGAATAATATTTGCAATGTAGTTTTTCAATGTAGCGTATGTGAATATTGGTGCTTGTGTAAGAATCTCCATTTACTCACATATATGATGTGCAACCTTGGCCAAGTTATTTAACCTTTTTGTGCCTAAAGGTCTTCCTTGATAACAGGAGGATAAAATAGCACCTAGATCATATTTTAACTGTTAAAAATTACAATTATAACTTAAAACACTGCATGCTATACTTATAGCCCAATAAATGCTAGCTTGTTATACTATTATATAATGCTATGTATAATTATTATATATTAATATAATATATAATTATTATAATATAATATTATATATAATATAAAATATATTATATTATTATATATAATATAATATATATTATATATAATAATATAATATAATATAATATAATATAATATTATACTAATATATTATTATAATATTATATTATACTAATATATTATTATAATATAATATTATAATAATATATTAGTATAATATAATAATATATAATTATTATAATATAATAATATATAATTATTATAATATAATATAATAATATATAATTATTATAATATAATAATATATAATTATTATAATATAATATAATAATATATAATTATTATAATATAATATAATAATATACAATATTATAATATAATAATATACAATTATTATAATATAATAAAATAAAAACACATTATTTTTTACACTATTACATACCAGTCATTGGTCTAACTAGTATATAATAGTGTAACAAGCTAATATGAATGTCCCAACAGTTCTATAAAAGATATTAGTTATTCAATAAATGTTTAAAGGCCAAGTTTCTCTTATTTATTCAACCGCCAACATCCTTTAGACTGGGGGTCAAGAAATGTCACTGTGAGTAGCAATTTGAAAAATGAGAAGGGGACACTCATAAAGAAATTTACAGTCAGAATTTTCTGGGGAGTAGAGACATCAGTGCCTTCAAAGATCACAAAAAAATAAAAATAAAAAACATGGTATGCTTGAGGATCGGAGTGAAGCCTGTGGACTGTAGTAAGTGTGTGAGAGGGAGTGGGGAAGCAATAAGGCAGGGGTCCTCTCTGTACTGCCTACAAGGTCATGGGAAGAAGTTTAGATTTTATTTTAAGGCAATAGAATGCCATTGGAGGGTTTTTAAGAAAGAAAATAACATAATCTGATTTGTGTGGTACAATTTCACACTGACTGTAGTGTGGAGAATGGATCATAGGAGTGGAAATGAGAAGGCAAAGACATGTGTTAGGAAGTGGTTCCAGTTATCCAGATGTAAGGGATAATGGCTTGGTTACAGACTCAGAGGATACATTTGGGAACATTGATTTACTCAGAAATGTTGGTTCAGAAGAAAATCCCATCCTTAGTAATTTAATTAGCACATTACACTAATTAATGAATTACAACATGGTCCTACTGCACAGAATTAGAGGTTAGAAAGATGAACAGGGCTGAAGATAGCATTTGACAACTGGTGTATCAGATTACAACTGTGTGACACCATGTCAAATATCTAAGACTTGAATGTTGAAACACATAGTATTTTGTATTTCTTCTTCATCCTTTTTATTTTCTCACACAGAATGATTTATTTTCACTGTGTAAACACATGAGTGGCAGATGCAACCACTGTGAGAGTTCAGCAGTCTAGGGAGGAGTGGGAAAGTAGAACTTTTGGAAAATAAAGTGAAATGTTTGAGTATTCATATAAAATTAGAAGGTTTTAGGGAAGAAAACAGCCACTTTTTCTTACAGGAACAGTGGTTTGGTTACTGATATTTAAATTAAAAGTCTTTAAATTATGTACATTAAATCCATGAGTTACATTGATTTGGATATATTGATAACAATAATTTATATGATTGTAAGCAAATACAAAATATTTACTTACCCATATGTTACCTAGAAAAAAACAGAATTGACAGTTCTGTTTGTTTTTACAGACATTTATTGAACATTTATAAAATACCAGCCCTAGACTATGCCCTCAAGGACTTTACAATCTTCTGAGGAAATCAGGCATAAAAACTGATTATTTGTATGTAATATGGAAAGTGTTCAAGAACAAGAAGACACAAAGATCACCCCACACCACAGCAGTAATTCTTTCAACCTCTTCATTCAGGGAGGATTTCATAGAAGAGACAGTGCCTAGGGTCACTCTGGAAGAAATGAGCATGAGTATGGCTGGCGAAGAACAGAGATAAGGGCTTTCCTAACAGGGATTAGCATAAGGAAAAGAAAGATGGCCTGAAAAATACGTTGTATAAAAGGAAATGACAAATAAATGCATATTATAAAAGCATGGTGGGGAGTTGTGAGATGTGATGCTACAGAAATATCTAAGAAAAAACTTGTATGCATTGTCTCATTTCTCTCCATGAGAGGGATTCTCTGAAGAGTTATAAGCAGGTAATGCCTTTAGCATCTATCTACAAAGGAAATGAAAATAAGAAACATAAGATCATTCAGCAGTGCTTTTACAAAATTTAATATTAATCACACCTATATCTACACAAAAATTTTAGAATATCTACATTTAATAATAGTAACTAAATATGACTAAATATGTATATATAAGCTTTTATACACACACATGTCTATATGTATATATATACAAATAAATATATGTGCTAACATTTGAGATTATAAATGAACGCTAACCGTGCCTTCAATACTTTGCATATCTTATCTCATTTATGTCTCAACATACACTTAGTTGATGCTCTTTTTATGCTATTCGATAGCTGCCAAAACTGTGTCTTAGATTTGTGTGAACTATATATAGCGAAGTGTAACTAGCTATTCAGTTCTACATATGGAACTCTTGCTCCTCTAATGCCCACTCTTTCTAAATCTAGCATTTGAGTATTATTAATTTACCAAATGTACTGTACACAATCCGTGGAGTATGAATTTGCTAGGGCTTTTGTAACAAAGTTCCATGAACTAAGAAAAATTGTACTGGATAAGTTAAACATGGAAGGAAGACTTTATTCAGGACTACTCTAATAGGAAAGAGAGAATTGACTCAACTTTGCTGAGAAAACAAAAGGTGAGCGAGTTTCTAGGTACTAGGGTGAGCTAATAAAAAAGTATTGGAGGAGGACAGAGGGCAGGTTGGTCAAGATGAGTAGGTCATCTGTGTTTGCTAATTGCTATGTAAAACAGACTCCTACTATCCCACAGAGATGGGGGAGGGGAGGTAGGGGCTCTAATCTGATGTTTACATTTCAAAGGGGTGGCTCCCAAGTCCTTGAGAAAGAATTCATGAATTATAAAACAGGTAAAGGAATGGAAGAAGATTTATATCTCAAAAAAGAGAAAAAAATTTAAATTGCAAGTTTAAGTGAATGCTCTAAGAAAATTCTATAGTCAGGAAGAGTGCTGTCTAAAGTTTCATCAAGCTGAGCAGAAAATTACGGCTTTCTTGATCAGTTTAAGCAATAGGAACTTATTGTCTCTCATCTCTGGAGGTTAAAAGCTTGAGATTAAGGTGTCAACAGAGTTGATTCCTCCTGAAGGCTGTGAGGAAGAATCTGTTCCATGCTTCTTTCTCAGTTTCCGGTGCTTTACTGGCCATCTTTGGCATTCCTAGTCTTCCACATCTGCCACTCTCTGCTTTTATCTTCATATGGGCTTCTCCATGTGTGCATGCCTATGTCCAAATATCTGCCAGACATATTGGATCAGGGACCTACCCTATTCCAGTCTCATTGTAACTTTGTTAATTATGTGTATCTGCTGTAATCCTATTCTCAAAGTCACATTCTGAGGTACTGGGGGTAAGCACTTCGGTATATAATTTTTCTTTTTTTGCCTTTTTTCTTTGTGATAGTCTTTATTTTTTAGAACAGTTTCAAGTTCAGAGGAAAATTGAAAAGATGGTACAGAAATTTACCAATTACTCCTGCCCCATACATGCATGATCTCCCCAATTATCAACATCCCCACACCAAAGTGCTACATTTGTTACATTGATTAACCTACATTGACATATCATTATCATCACAAATCCTTAGTTTAAATCAAGGTTCACTCTTCTTGTTGAATATTCTATAGATTAAAAAAAATATATAATGACATGTATCCACTATTATAATATCAGAGAGAGTATTTTAACTGCTCCATAAATCCTCTGTGCTTCTCTTATTCATCCCTCCCTTCCTCCTAACCGCTGGCCAACACTGATCTTTTTACTGTCTTCCTAGCTTCATCTTTTCTAGAACATTATATAGTTTAAATCATACAGTAAGTACCCTGCTCAGTTTGGCTTCTTTCACTTAGTAATATGCATTTAATGTTTCTACATGTCATTTCATGGCATGAAAGTTTATTTCTTGTTACTGTTGAATAATATTTCATTGTCTGGATATACCGCAGTTTATCTATCTATTTACCTACTTAAGGGCACCATGGTTATTTCCACATTTTGAAAATTATTAAGTAAAACTGCTATAAACATTTGTGTGCTGGGTTTTATGTGTGTGTGAACATACATTTTCAACTCCTTGGGTAAATGCCAAGAAGTGTGATTGCTGGATCCTATATTAAGAGTATTTTTAGGTTTTTAGGAAACCATCAAACTGTCTTCTAAAGTGGGCAGACCATTCTGTTTTCCTACCAGCAGTGAATGAGCATTTTTATTGCTTCACATCCTCTCCAGCCTGTAGTGTTTTCAGTGTTTTGGATTTGGGCTATTCTAATAGGTGTATGGTAATATCTAATATCTTGTTGTTTTAATATACATTTCCTTCATGATGTATGATGTAGAACATTTTATATGTTTAATTGCTATCTGTGTATATTCTTTGATGAGGTGTCTGTTAAGGTCTTTGGTCTATGTTACTTTCTTTTTTCATTGTTGTTTTTGTTTTCGAGTCAGAGTCCCGCTCTGTCGCTCAGGCTGGAGTACAGAGGCGGGATCCTAGCTCACTGCCACCTCAACCTCCTGGGTTCAAGCAATCCTCCTGCCTCAGCCTTCAGAGTAACTAGGACTACAGGCATACACCACCGCACCCAGCAAATTCTTTATTTTTTTGTAGAGATGAGGTCTCATTCTGTTGCCCGGGCTGATCTCAAATTCTTGGCTTCAAGTGAGCCTCCCCACTCAGCTTCCCAAAGCGCTGGGATTACAGGCATGAGCCATCATGCATGCCTGTTATCTTTTAAACTTATGAATCCTGGTAGGACACAATTCAATCCATTGTTTTTACTAATGAGTTAAATGGCACATTTAAAAATGCAAATGGTTCTCTACATGTTGATACTAATGTTTAAGTGGATCCTTACTGCAAGGTAAGACTATGAGTCATTAGGTTTCATTCATAATGAAATGTAATATTTATTATGACTAATGTTTTTAATTGCATGTGTAAATACATTACTTAGCTTATTTTTGAGAGATAGACTATAAATATTCAATATCAAACATTGTAGTAAAATTTGTCCTAGTTCTAAAAATGAAGACTGATTAGTTTTTCTTACATATATTTATTATTTACATAACATAATAAATATATTATTACTAGGTGCCTTAAAACCTCAAATAACTTGGTTATTAAATAATTTTTGCTTATGCAATTAAATTCTAATTAATGCATATGAGGTATATTTCCAATTAAAAATATAAAAAGAAGAAGAAAACAAAATAATATGTGTAATTTTCTTAAATATATAAATTTCTTAGTTTAAGTAATATTGGTTAGAAAAATGATGCCAGTGTTATCTCACTGTAAATAATGTATTTCTGTGTAAATACTTTTGTGTTATTCTTGCTATTTTCAGTTAATAAAAGTTTTTATGAAAGTAAGGTCTAAGTTGTTCTATCATCTTTAACTATCATAAAAAGTTGTTGCTGTCTTATTTTTCTTCTTTGTCTCTAAGGCATACTCCAGTTCAACGGGAGATGAAAAACAACAGGAGATGATAGAGCAATGGAAGGCATTACAGGTGTGCGTGATTGATTATGTCAACAACAAAAGCAAATTTGAAGAGGAAGGTAAGAACAGAGTAAAGTAGTTAAAGATGTTTCAGTACAACCCAGAAGGTGAAAACTGTTTTATGAAGGGTCAAACTGAGTGGGAAGAAAGGAAGTTTTTGATAACAAAGAATACAGTTTTCAAGAGTTTTTTAGAAAAAATGAGGAAAAGTAGGCAGAATAAAATAACTTGAAAGGCACTATAATTTTTAGTTTGATATGAAAGATGATAAAGGTGTAATTGCTTTTTACTATTAGCTATTTTATCTTTAATTAACTTTATTTACATTTTTAAGAATTTTGACCTCAGATTCACCTTTGGACTATGACATTAGTTTGCTTTCAAAATAAGACATCTGATAGTTCTATTTTAGAATCAGACATTAAAGAGGAAATGAATGTAAATTAGACAGATGATGTAACATTTTCAGCTGAAAGTGTTTGTATAGCTGAAACTATAATAATTGTATTATTGTAGTATTGTTATACTACAGCTGATAGTATAATAATATAATAATTTTTAATAATTATTAAAGAGTACAGAAAAATGACAACTTTATTCTGCTTCTGAAATTGTCACATCAAAGTATGGAAAACGCTGACTTTTCTTAGGAAACATTTTTTTTTTCCACAATATTGCCAATAATCTATTAAGACATTATCCTTTATAGCAGGGGTCCCCAACCCCCGGGCCACAGACTGGTACCAGTCCCTGGCCTGTTAGGAACCAGGCCACACAGCAGGAGGTGAGTGACGGGCAAGCCAGCGAAGCTTCATCTGTATTTGAGGCTGCTCCCTATTGCTTGCATTACTGCTTGAGCTCCACCTCCTGTCAGATCAGCAGCTGCATTAGATACTCATAGGAGCACGAACACTATTGTGAACTGCACATGCGAGGGATCAAAGTTGTGTGCTCCTTGTGAGAATCTAATGCCTGATGATCTTTCAGTGTCTCCCATCATTCCCAGATGGGACTGTCTAGTTGCAGGAAAACAAGCTTAGGGCTCCCACTGATTCTACATTATGGTGAGTTGTATAATTATTTCATTTTATATTACAATGTAATAATAGAAATAAAGTGTGCAAAAATGTAATGTGCTTGAATCATCCCCAAACTATCCTCCCCCTCCTAGTCTGTAGAATAATTATCTTGAGTGAAACTGGTCCCTCATGACAAAAAGGTTAGGGACTGCTGCTTTATAGGATAGACAGATATTCAAGCAATAGTATGCTAGTCTGCTGGGATTGCTATAACAAAATACCATAGACTGGGTGGCTTTAAAAACAGAAATGTATTTTCTCATAGTACCGGAGACTGGACTTTCAAGACGAAGATGCTAGCAAGGTTGCTTTCTAGGGAGGCCTCTTCTCTTGACTTGCAAATAGCCATCTTTCTTCTGTGACTTTGCCTGGTCTTTTCCCTGCGTGTGAGTGGAGAGAGAGAACTTCGGTGTCTCTTTATCTTCTTATAAGGGCACCAGTCCTATCAGCTTAGGACCAACTCCTTATAAGGTCATTTAATTTTAATTACCTCATTAAAGGCCCAACATCCAAATACAGTAATATTGGAGGTTAAGGCTTCAGCATATGAATTTGGAGGTGGTGGTGCATAGTTCATTCCATAACAGACAGCTTGATAAATTTACTGCAGTGGTTAATTTAAGAACCCATGTTGGCTGGCTGTGGTGGCTCACGCCTGTAATACCGGCACTTTGGGAGGCCGAGGTGGGTGGATCACCTGAGGTCAGGAGTTCAAGACCAGCCTGGCCAACATGGTGAAACCTCATGTCTGCTAAAAATACAAAAACTAGCCGGGCATCATGGCACACGCCTGTAATCCCGGCTACTCGGGAAGCAGAGGCAGGAGAATAGCTTGAACCCGGGAGGCGGAAGTTACAGTGAGCTGAGATCTTGCCACTGCATTCCAGCCTAGCGACAGAGCAAGACTTCGAAAAAAAAAAAAAAGAACCTATGCTTTTCTTTTCTTTTTTATTTCTTAGCATCCTGAGAATTTTTTTTCCTTTTGTTCCAAGATCTCTCCTTAAAACATCAGTTGTCAGGGTCATAGAATAGAAGGAAGAGGAGAAATATCTCTCCCTTTAAAAGTGTGGAAGCTGGCCAAGGTTGGCGGATCACTAGAGTTCAGGAGTTCAAGACCAGCCTGAGTAACGTGGTGAAATCGTGTGTCTACTAAAAATTCAGAAAGTAGCTGGGCATGGAGGCATGCGCCTGTAGTCCCGGCTACTCCAGAGGCTGAGGTAGGAGAATCACTTGAACTCAGAAGGCGGACATTGCAGTGAACTGAGATCACACCACTGCACTCCAGACTGGGTGACAGAGCAAGGCACTGTCTTAAAAAAAAAAAAAAAAAAAAAAATATATATATATATATATATATATATATATATGAAAGCTGGAAGCCATTATCCTCAGCAAACTAACCCAAGAAAACCAAACACTGAATGTTCTCACTTACAAATCGGAGCTGAACAATGAGAACACATAGACACAGGGAGGGGAACAATACACACTGGGACCTGTCGGGGTGTGGGGAGCGAGAGGATTAGGAAAAATAGCTCATGCATACTGGGCTTAATATCTAGGTGATGAGTACATAGGTGCAGCAAACCACCATGACACACATTTACCTATGTAACAAACCTGCACATCCTGCACATGTACCCCAGAACTAAAAATAAAAATTAAGAAAATGTACATTAGCAAAGTTTCACTTATTTTGTTTCACATATGCAACTCATTGGCCATAATTCAGATGCATGTCCCCACCCTCCTGCGAGGAGGTTTAGGAAATAATATTTATTCTATCCTGTAACACAGCAGCTAAAAATCAGAGGTCTTTTTCACTGGAACAGAAGAGGAGAGGAGATGAGGAAAAACAACAAGGAATCTTTAACATTCAAAGAAAACGAAACAAAATATTTTATTTTTGCAATTATTTAGCAGCAAGTGTCATAAAATAAAAAGATCGCAAAAAGTCAGAGCTTGGATTTGAGTTCCACTCTGCTAATTATTACCTTGTAATCTTTAACAAGTAGTCTACAATAAATTTTATCATAATTTAAATGTAAATGATATTTATAATTATTTTTATAATTACAAATGAAGCAATATTTGGGAAAGTAATTTGCAAATGCCAAGCCAATTGCAAATTGATGTGCCGTATTGATATTACATTATGGTAGTGTTTAACTTACTGGATATACACACACATGATGTGTGCTCAAACTTTTTTCAATAAATTTCATAGTGCTGCTTGATGCTGATAAAATTTTCCCTTAATCAAATTCATTCTACTTCATGAATCCCAGAAATTCTAAGTTGGGTATCGCTATAAAGCACCAGTCCTCAACTTAGAATTTCTGGGATTTATGACGAGAATAGCCCTATTCTTCACACACACACACACACACACACAAAGGCTGATTGGGCCTTTTTCTCTTTTTTTTAGTATAATAACAGATAAATTTTTCAAGATTTAAAATTTTCCTGTTAAGAAAATTAAATATAGGCCTAGAAAGTGCAGTGGAATAGTGTTTTGTAGAAAAGAAGATTTATCTAACAAAGTCTGACTAAATCATCAAATTTGGAGCAGCCCATTATAGGGGTATGAGAAGACTGTGTGTCAGTTTCAAGCCTATTGAAAGAATTAGAGGCTGCTCCTGGGAATGAACCTAGTATAGTGTTTATGTCAAATTTTGCTTGGTTTGCATTGTGAGTAAATAAAATATACATTTATTAACTCTGTTGCTAATGTGGCAACGGGAACAGAGAGAAAAAGAGGAGATATCACCTGCTAATTAACGTTCTTAGTTCATAATTATAAAAATTATCATTGTAATAAAGATATTTTGATGTTAGCGTTTGTTATTGAATCCATATTCTGATTTGGTTTATGATTTTTTGTGTTCCAAAGTACAAAGTAACATTTTAACATAATATAAAACCATCCTTAAGATCTTATTAGTAAATAATAGTGGAGTGATTGGTCACAGAATACCTGTTAATAAGCAAATTGCATGGTTGTGGAAATGTCACCCATGTAAAGTTTTCTAGCCACAGCATTTATTCCCAGACATCACTTGTTACATCTCAATAGTAATTGACATTTCATTAGACAATATACAGTGTCTCACACCTTTCACCGGGCATTTTGAGTCCTCCTAAAATACAGGAAATGCAACCTTCTTGAATTAAAATAGATGCATAATATTGTGGTAACTAGATTAAATTAGAAAATAAACAAAGTGAGCAAATTATTTTTTGTTACTAAGTAGAACAATATTACTATTTTGTGGAGTATTTTACTTTTATAGACATTTGTAATTTGTCCATCACAATTTTTTGCTTTATCATTTGTAAGTTGTTTACAATAGTACTTTATCTTCCTTAAGTATACCAATAGGCCAGATAATTTTTGACATCGTTCTTGAGGCCATTTTCTTGAATCTCTGTTGTTTTGTATTTTAATTATTGAGCTTATCCTTATCTGTTGCAACCATGTCAATTTTGATAAGTCTATACCTAAAAGCCGAGCATCTGATGATTCTAACACAATAGTCAAATGCACTGGTTTCCTGTGTCTCTTCCTTTGTCTTGGTTATTCTTTCTACCATGATAAGATTTTTACCCCTCTCAACAGTATTTCACCAGTGAAATTTGTTCCTTACCCTTTTAACATTCTTCTTTAAGGAACACATATTTCGTTGAATGAAAAGTTACAAAAAAAAAGAATTTTCTTCTTTCTCTCATCTAATAAAAGTCAATAATAAATTTTGAATGCTGTAACTGATGAAATTATAGATTTTACTTTAAAATTGCTCTTATGGGTGCCAGATACTCCTCATTTTTAACTACATTTGTCATTACTCCTTGTTTTACTATACATATAAAACATACCCTCTGTTAACTCAGACTTTACTTCTCAAGTCATAGAATCATTGTTTTTCTTAAGTCTTCTAATTATTAAATTATTCCAGAATTCACTTCATGTATTAATATGTGTGTGAGAGACAGCATGTGTATGTTTTCCAAGAAATACTAGGTTATATGCTACACTGCTGAGCTAAATTCATACAAATTTGCTATAAGTTAATACAATATTTTCACATAAAAGTAATAGCTAGCATGAGTACAGCTAACTTAACCTGTGTTTTTTACAAATATTTTAAAATATGTATATAAAAACAAAGTTAAAATGATGACATTGAATGAGCATTCCCTTCATCTGTGAAATATTTTGCAACTTAAGAAAACACATTTCATATCCACACTGTTGGAGTCTTTTGTGTCAGATTACAACTGGATGTGTTTCTTTTTTAGTTATTTACAATAAAACAAACAAGGAAAAATTGAATCATATTGAATATTGATCCAATAGTGTAGGTTTCATCTTTATAGAGTTGCCATCACTAATCCTATCTTCAACGATATGGTGTATCTGAGTCATGTATCTAGATTTAATTTCTTATGACACATTTTATATTGATCTATTACATTTTCTATGCCTTAGGCACTGCTTTTACTTTTATGACACTCTTACTTATGCCAGTGTGTTTCCACAAAACAGATTTTGCCTCTGCACTTTACAGTACAATATAATTTCTTTCACTTTAGATCATTTTATATTCTCTAGGAAATTCAATTAGCAGTTTGCTCTTCGTGTTATCACGATTTTATCAAATCTTTATTAAATATGAATGTATAACTTTTTCCAATAACAAACATATATTGTTTTATATTGGATATAATTGAATGAATTTCCAGAAGTCTTAAGGTAGATACTTTATTATTATTTTTTGCAAAGTTTCTACTTGATGGTATAGTGGCAGTTGAGAAATATATTAAAATCAAATAACAATGTAATTGACCAATTTGTATGGGAGTCAGGCTAAGGTTGAATTGTCTCTTATTTTTATGATCCATGAAGACAGAGTTCTTTAGATTATTTCTTATGGCATGTAAATATGCCTAAAAGAGAGATGCCCACCTAACTGTGGTATTTTTGCCTGGATTTGACACTTACCATATGTACTTTGCTCACAATTACTATTTAATTACCTAAATTTGTGAATAAATATGTACTTCTCAGTAGTGACTGCCTTATTCAACTTTGTTCCTTCATTAAAATTAACTCAATTATTGTCATGTAATAGGTGCTCAATAGTTGTAAGTTATATTGAATTAAATTGCTAAATAATCTCAGCATCAAACATATCTAAATTATAACTGTACCAAATGGGTATATCATGTGTAAAACACTACATAAAAGATAAAGTATCGGGTTATGTTACAAATTATTTAAGACAGGTCTAAGAGAAACATGAAAGCAAGAATATGTCTGAAATTATCACATCAATGATAAACAGCAAAGGAAAGTGGTTGTTAAGTCATCCAAGTTGAAGAGGCATGTATCAATAATAAGTAAATACCACTGGAGCCCAAATAATGAATTGCCAAACAAAGAATAGTAAAGATTACAATTCGAACGTCAAGGTCAGTAAAAATATTTAAATATAGTACTAACTGCCTTAAGAATTGTAATAGTGAACTTTAAAGAATAATTATACTTCAAAAGCCTCTAACTAAGGGTGTTGGATATTATAAACTCTCTGAAGAAAAGGAGAAAATGATGGAAGAACATAAACATTGTGCAATAACTTTTTTGTTTGTTGTTTTTTGGGGGGGACCACAAATAGCATTTAGTTTGTGTATTCAATATGTGAATGAAAGTTTATCATTTCAAACATCCATTTGTGCACCAATATATTAAGGTATGAGTTTTAGTACGGAGGTTTAGTCCAAACACAAAACTTACATTGAACATAGAAAATCTATCCATTCCATGTATATTATTCTGTTTATGTAAACCTTCATGATTTATATGTTTACACACCAATAACTAAGAAACTGTACTTTTTACTGTGCTTCAGGGATTTTAGGGTTTCAAGCAAAATTTAAAGTCTTGTTACTCCTAAGTTAATCTTGTTCTTTATATAAACTCTGTGTGGTGTGTAATTCATAGCAACTTGAGAAGTAAATTTGTACTACTGGGTGAAATAATGGCTCAATGAGGAACTTTGTATATCAACACTATAATATATATTCATTATTATCCATAGGTGGGTAGTGCAGTTTGCAGGTTTTCTTAGCCATTAAATGATCTTATTTGTTTTGTTGTTGTTGTCATCGATAATGTTGTATCTAACCAGTAAGTCATAAAAAGCCAGAGATGCCTAAGAATAGCTTTTTTGAATCCCAAATAAATACACATATGTTTATAGAAATATGTATACATAAAACCATATATAATTACATATAAACATTATTAAATGTTACATAATTAAAAGATATGTATTATGTATAAAACATATTTACATCTATATAACAATGACTTATAATAATTTTTTAATTTTTGAAATTAAGAAAAAATGGCATACAACCCTACAGAAATTTAGACAAAATGCTTCCAATGGCATATCACAAGAGGATGCCTAAATGACCAAGAATCATATAAAAAGGTGTCCAGCTTCAACAGTCATAAGGAAAATGCAAATTCAAACTGGGAAACCACAGCACACCCACCAAAATGGCTGTATTTTAAAAAATAATTTTTAAAAAGTTTGAAAGATTAACAATATTGTGCATCAAAAATCAAATGCAATTCCAAAGCACTGCTATTGGAAGTGAATTGTATAAACATTTTGAATAACTGTTAGACATTATCTATTAAAATTGAAGACATACATATTCAATGATACAGTTATGCTTTTTCTAAGTATGTATGCCACAGAAGCCTGTACAGAGATCTTCCAAAATACTTATAGGATAAGGCAGAGGTAGTTTATAGCAATTTTATTTATAATTTTATGTATACATGTGTATGCCATAGAGTTAAACTATTAAAATAGTATAATGCATGCAAAAGAATAAATCTTTCTAAATAGCAAATGTACTTCAAAAATCCCAAAAGAGTGATACTCAGCGTATCAAATATTAAATAATAATGGCAAGGCAAGAGTAAAATATATATAGGGACTAGGGCCAAAACCAACACACTCACCAATGGAACAGCTGGACAGCTCAGAAATAGACACATGCGTATGGGAAACTTGATATGAAATAAAAGTGTCACCATAATATGAGAACATGATTACAATGTCTTAATTTTTAAAACAATTACTAATATCTGGAATGTACAAAGAACTAGAAATTGACAAGAAAAAGAAGTGAAATACATTATGGAAATGAGCACAAGTAATAAATAGGAATAGAAAGGAAAAGTAAGATAACTAAATGCTATATATGACTATGTTTTGTGTTGCCGCTCATAAGTTGATTAATGAAAATTGAAACAACATGATAGTACCTCAAAGCTGTCAACTTGTAAAACTTTGAACGTTGAATAACATCCTATTTTGGGAGATTAGTACTATTTTCCAATGCTGCTGAGCATTTGAACTGGTAAATACACAAACAGTTCCCTGATTTGCCATGGTTTGACTTACAGTTTTTTGACTTTACAATGGTGTGCAGATGAAACATATTCAGTAGAAACATACTCCAAATTTGAATTTTGTTCTTTTCTAGGCAAGTAATAGGCAATACAATGCTATTTTGTTATGCTGGGAAGCAGCAGTGAGCCCCAGCTCCCAGTCAGCCAAGCAATACTGCTCTCATGAGTACTGTACTCTCCAATGTCCTGTGTTCAAGTTATAAAATAGACATTAAGTTATAAGACTCTGGCCAACTCTAGGCTACTATAAGTGTTCTTAGCACGTTTAAGGTAGGCCAGGCTAAGACAGGATGTTCAATATGTTAGCATATTAAATGCATTTTCAACCTATGATATTGTCAACATATGATGGGACACAAACCCATCATAAATCAAGGAACATCTGTCTTGTGGAAAATAATCTGGTTTTATTCAGTGAAATCAGTATGTGTATACTTGAAGACTGCAATTTCATCTATTGATTTATATTCCAAACAAATTTTCAAAAATTTTATTGTCTTAGTCTGTTTTTTGTTGCCATAAAGAAATAACAGAGATTGGGTAATTGATAAACAAAAAAGGCTTCTTTGGCTCACAGTTCTGAAGACTGTATGAGTTTCATTACACCAGCATCTGCATCTGATGAGGGCCTCAGGTTGCTTCCACTATGGTGGAAGGCTGAGGAGCCAGATGTGCAGAGATCACATGTGGAGAGAGGAAGCAAGAGAGAGGGGAGGTGCCAGACTTTTTTTTAAACAACTAGTTCTCAGGAAAACTAATAGAGAAAAAAAATCACTCACTCTCCTCTACTCTTCAGAGAAGGTGTTTATTTATGAAGAATGTTTTCCCATGACCAAAATACCTCCCATAAACCCCACCTCCAACGTTAGGATTAAATTTCCACATGTGTTTTGAGGGAAAACATCAAAACCATAGCATTTATGATTATACTTTTACAATAGCGATGTTTCTCGTGGAAGATATTTGGATGTAATCTAAATGTTCGTTACTAGGAAAATGGACAAGTAGCTAATATTTTTTAAGGGAAAAGCGAGTGTTTGAAAAGGTTTTTAAAAAGAAAATTTATAGAAAAAAACAGGTATGAAGATTTAAAAGAGAGACACCGAAAATATTATATATTTAAGAACACATATTTTATATTTTAATAGGTGTATCAGAATGTAGAATGAAATATGACAGAGATTTCTGGAAAAACACTAACATTAAATTAACAGGAGAAAATTACTTCAAGTACATCTGGTAACAAAATCTGTGATAAGGGTAATCTGAAAATTCTCTCCTCTATAAATCCACAATAAAACCAGAATTTTAAAAAGCAGAAAATGTATTGTAAACATTAGAAGTGTAAATAATATAAATAATATAAATACATGTGACATATAACAATGTATAGAATTTACCCAAAGGAAAAATGAAAATGAGTTAATAGAGAAAGCCTGAGCAAACTGCATGATATGCAGACAAATAAGAAAAAAGATAAATGTGATAAAAGAATAAAGGGTATAAAAAAGGGCAGTCAATAAATACCAAACATATTATAACTAATGTACATAAATTAGCAAAAAAAAGCACAGAAAATTATTCAAAATTGTAAAAGTTCAAGCTTGAATCTGTAGCGGTGAGCCGAGATTGCGCCATTGCACTCCAGCCTGGGGGACAGAGTGAGACTCTGTCTCAAAAAAAAAAGAAAGAAAGAAAGAAAAAAAGTTATGTCAGTCCGGTAAACTAAATAAAGTCAAGAAGTGTTTACATGTTAGACAGGGATATATTTATAATTATGGAGACTTTGCCTTCTTGGTTTGTTGGGACAACCTCAATTTGTGATTATTGTTATTCTTAATAATCAGGATACTTGCTTTACTTTCAAAATCATTCTTGGTGAACGAACACTCATGCAATACTTGCTGAATGTCTAAATTCCATTTTTAAATTTCTTAGACAAAATGTTCATTCTTAATTGTTATTTTCATGGCCTCCACAATTGCAAAATAAGGGAGAGTATACATTAGTTTTTCTATGGTTGATTGATATGATTTAAATACATAGTAGGAAAATAAGAACAACACTGCCATAACAGTGATCTGAGAAGAAGCTAGATGTTTGATATCTTCAGAAAATTATTTACTTTTTCATAAACCAAACATTCCCCTTTTCACAAAATACATGTAGTTTTATATGTGAACACTATACTATAAAATTATATTTCAATATCTGGTGTTCTGATATGCTGTGTTTAAAAGAGTCACAAAGAATAATTTTTGTATAGAAGACAAGAATATTGGTATATGAAGACATGAGTTTAGAAAAACTGAATATAGGCCAGGTGCAGTGGCTCACGCCTGAAATCCCAGCACTTTGGGAGGCCAAGATGGGCGGATCACCAGGTCAGGATATAGAGACCATCCTGGCTAACACGGTGAAACCCTGTCTCTACTAAAAATACAGAAAAAAAAAAAAAAATTAGCCAGGCGTGGTGGCGGGTGCCTGTAGTCCCAGCTACTGGGGAGGCTGAGGCGGGAGAATGGCATGAACCCAGGAGGCGGAGCTTGCAGTGAGCCGAGATCGCACCACTGCACTCCAGCCTGGGCGACAGAGCAAAACTCCGTCTCAAACAAAAAAAGAAAAACTGAATATATATTACATTATGTTTTATAAAAATTTTCTATTATCTAGAAATTTCAGCAGATTGGCAGTTGGAAGTATAGATAATTGAAAGTGGGTACTATAATAGTAGTGAAAGTTAACTAGTCAAAAAAATTTAAGAGGTGTGATAAGAACTATTTGACTGCATGCTGCTAACCTGTGGGTTATTCTGTAGTTTGCATCACAAAGAGAAATTGCAGGGGCAGGAGAGAAAGATAGAAATAGCAGCTGGAGCTGAGATATTATGTCCAAAAAGTAAAGTCGAGTTATTTCTACTCCAATAAGCTAAGCACTTTTATAAAAAGAAGCTTCAGAATTTTTTAATGCAAAACTATATTAAACCAGATACTTAAGAGACAACATGAATGGATATTGTACTATTCTGGAACTTAAAATATACAGTTATTTGTGAGCACAACCAGAAAAGTCTCTAACAGATTCCAAGAGCTTAATTCTACCTGTAAAAATAGAGGTGGTTGGAAAACTGGACAAGTTAGTTGAGGAAGTGTCCCAGATCAGTGAGAGATGGGAGATTTATTAAAGCACAAACACTGGCGGGTCATGCCCAATGAACTCTGCTGTCTGCCAGGAAGACAGAGGAATCTCTCTAGGACTTGTGGAGTCCAGGATCTCAGTGAAGAATTTTCACCCAAGGTAAAGGCTGAGCTGTAATAAAAAGAAGGCCCTATGGTAGAAAATACAGATCCATTACATGAATATAAGAGTAAAATCGAGAGACCTGGAAGCCAAAGAGGACAGCTTATGGCCAAGATATTCACACCGAATACCAAAAATTAAGGAAAATGAAACAAGGGCTTGAAATTATATTAGCTAGAAAAGAGAATATCTAAATCTTATCTGATAAGAAAAAGATCTATGAAGAGAACATGAATACAATAGCCAAGATTATTGCAAGGAACTTGCCTAGTCTAATGACATTTTATTTCTTCACAGCAAAAGGGGAATAGAAATAAAATGTATCGTCACACTTTCTCATTCTAGAAGGCAGAAGTAGGTTTTGGGGGCCAGAATTTAATTAAAAAAAGATAAGTAACTGTTAAGCTATTACCATCCAAGTGTTCAGCATGTTTCACAGGAATCTTGCTTCAAATAGCATTTTCTTTATTACTTACTAACTTAGATTATTTGAATTAAATTAATATCCATAGTCAATTGTCCAAAGGAGCAAGAGCCTGTTCTGTGGTTAACTTTGAAATACTAAGTAAGTACTACTCCCACTGGATATGGACTTGTTAATTACAAGTGTATTTCAATGAACTATCTTACTTCCTTTAACATAAGATGCCATCAATTACAAGGCACACCATTATTTTCTGTTAACACTAATTAATAGAAAAATTTACAAATCCAATTACGGAAAGATTTCTGATTGTGTTGCCTTTTTATTTTATATTTACAGAAAGAAGTCTTTCAAGTTTAATTAGACCTAGATATTTATTATGTATCATTCATGTGTATACATGAGGAAGGAAAACAAATTAAATAAATGGTCTAATGACTGTTTGAAATGTGTTTGTACTCAGAGTCATCAATGTTCATATTTCTTCATACAATATCAACCTCTGAGAAATCAAGAGGCTTGATTTGCCACATTTCTCAAAATAACAATTTTAAGAATTGTTATCTCAGAATTTTCCTCCCAGCTGCTAAAGCCCATCCTGAAAGTTTGATGCTCATGGAAACACAATGACAACAAATTCAACATCCTACCTAGCCTTCAGTGATTGTAAGATGAGCCAAGTTTCTGACATACTTGACTGATAAATTTGGAAATAATGAACTAGGAATTCTTGGCTCAACAACTTTCTTTTTCTCTTAACTACCTGTCTGCAGACAACACAGTTCCCTTTCCATTTTCATGTGAAGACATTATAGGGCAGTCCCCAATGTCAGACCCCTACAGTCAGTGCTTTATGAACCCCACTCGTCCACAGATATATATCATCTTCTCAAAGTGATCTTCATATGCGTCTTACTTTCTTAATAGATTTAAATTCTTATCCAGGAGAAAATTATCTTTCAATACCAATGAAAGTAAAGTAAATGTATGCATCGCTTTGCATGTTTTACATACCATAGCCAGCAAGGTATGTGGTTGCAGTTTTAAAAAGACCGATATGAACTACACAGAGTGGAGTGAATTTTAGATGACAGATAAAACTCTGAATTAGATAGTTTCTAAAATATCCAGTAACAATACTGTTATTTGAACCAGAATTCATCCCAGGCGATCAAACTTTTCATTCATCTCTTATCTTATTCTTTAAACATAAGATCATTAATTGTCATTTATTGTTAGGCATTTGAGAATAAATTATAAAGCAAAATAGACTTGTGGACAATCCCAAACTGTCCCCATTCTAGGGGAAAACATGCACAATTAAACAGTAGGCATAAAATGTGGCAAACTTTATTACAATAGTGATAAATTTCTATGGGACCATATATTACTATTAGCAGTATCACTATGTCTCCAGGCACACAGGTATAAAGAAATGTCACTTAATTTCCTGTAAATTAATTCAATTTGTTCTTCAATCCTTCAATGCCTCTAGGCTCTTAGGAGATGCTGCCTCATTAATTCTAGCATTATTCTTTTCTGCATTTATATTTTGGTGCAATCATATAGTTAAAGAACATTTATTGAGTATCTTTAATAAACACTACATCTTACACCTCTGTATCCCCCAATATATTGCAGATGCATAAATCATCTCTAGTGTTCATCTTACTTGGATAAAGGCAGGGAACAAAGTCCAGGTGTTGAGCTGTATAGATCCAACACTACTCTCTTGCTTCTCCTTTGCTGGTATAATTTTTTCCTATGATTATTGACTGGGTCGATTCTCTTTCTTCTACTAATGTACACCTTTTTACTGACAACCCTAGCCTTTCTTGAAGGTTTTAAGATTTTGAAGGCAAAATCCAGAAGTCCTGCTGACTTGTTCTATTTATTTTTTTACCTGGCAGACAATTCCCCTGAGGCAGAAAGACATGAGACCTGCTATGCTAAAAATTACAGAGAAAGAGAAAGAAGAAAATGTGGTAAGGCAGAAAGAAAAAAAAAAAACTTCACAAATTACATCTAAAAACATTATCTAACACATCAGCCTAGGGATGGTCAGTAGGAATTACATTTCATCTGATAACTAAAGTATAATGGTCAAAATTGTTTGAGGCAGATGAAAAATTGTTTGAGAATCCAAAGACATTTTATGCTTGTAACTGAGAGGTGTTCAATATAACCATAGCTGTGAGGTGAGAGGAGGTAAAAGTTATGGATGGAGAAAAATAAGGCAGGCAGGATAAACAGGCCATGACTTCTAGAACTATATCAAACAGTGTTAACTTTTTTTAAGGCAATCAAAAATTTTGACAACATTTAAAGAAAAAAAAAAAAGACAAGTGCTTTTTGCATTTTAGAAGTCTCACTCTGGTTTCAAGCCAGAAGGAGAATCCTCACACCTTCTAAATGTTTCTTTTTCCCTGAAAGCTTTTATTGGACAAGTCATCTTTCCACCCTACTACTTTATTTGACAATATATATTGCAATTCAACCATAAAAATTAAGTATTTTTGGATAATAATTTTGATTTTCATATCAAAGCCTATGCTTGATAAATTCCAATCAAAGCATATTCTACAATGAGAAAAATATATATTTTAAATACCATCAGAATTTCAAGCATGAAAACACTTTGATATAATTAGCTACAAAATCATTGAGTTGAGTTTAAAAACAACTTGAAGAATGTATAAATTACCAAATTACTTTTAAAGAAGAACATTTATAAACTTTATTTCACATTCTAATTGTAATAGCTTTCACTTTATGCAAACATGTCTATATCTACACTTTTGGTATCAAGCATAATTGGTCTACACAGCTTTTGTTTCACTACTTTGAGTAAAGTTGATCCATAACAACCTGGCAGTTATTCCTGAGCATTGATATGTGAATAAAAAGTTTCTTTGAAAGAGCATTTTGGGTCCAGGCAAGGTGGTCCAGGCCTGTAATCCCAGCAGTTTGGGAAGCCCAGATGTGAGGATTGCTTGAGGGCAGGCATTTAAGACCAGCCTGGGCACATAGCAAGACCCCGTCTCTGTGAAAAACAAAATAAAAATGAGCATGATGGCACATACCATTAGTTCCAGCTACTCAGGGAGCTGAGGTAGGAGGATGGCTTGAGCCCAGGAGTTCAAGGCTGCAGTGAGCTATGAGGTGGCATCACTGTACCCCAGCCTGGGCAACAGAACGAGACCCTGTCTTTTTAAAAAAGAAAAAAAAAGAGAGCATGTTAGGCATTGATACATTTCTATCTCACTTTTTTGAGAGCTCAAGAAAATTAATTCATTACCATACATTTATTTCATTTCCAGAGCTTTTCATTTCTTTGTAGATCCAAATATCAATCTGACAGCATATATTTTATGCGTGAAGAACATTTTTAATGTTTTTGTTGAGAAAGTCTGTGAGCAGTGAATTCTTAGAGTTTTTGTTTTCCTGTGGAAGGCTTTATTGCCCTTTTATTATTAAAAGCTATTTTCTTTAGATATGGATTTCTTTAGATATGGGTTGCAAGTATAAATTTCTGGTTAGGAAGACTGAATTACTTTCTTTCCTCATTTTAAAGGTTCTTTAGTATCATCCAACTTGCATAATTTCTGATATTGCTTTATTTGCTTCATTGTAGTGTTTCTTTTTTCTCTGGCTAACTTTAATATTTTCTCATTGTCCTTAGCCTTTTAGTATCTGATGTGTGTTTGTTTCTGATTAGTGTTCAAGAGCTTGTTGGATATGTACTATATTAACTATAATTAATTTTGAAAACTTTTCATGATTATTTAAAAGAACTTCCTTCTTTTCCTTCTTGGATTCCTATCACACCTAAGTTAGAATGTTTAATATTGTTCCACAGCTCTTGAATTTCCTAGTGTTTTGGGTTTTTTTTTTTTATTCTCTTTTCCCCCTTTGTGTTTTAATTTGTGTAATTTTTATTGACTGCTTCTTAAATTCACTGATTCTTTATTTGGCTCTATTAAATGTCTTGGTTGCTGTGTTTTTATTTTCCCCATTTTTTTATTCTTTTATAGAGTTTTTATCCCTCAACTGAAATCACTCATTTCATCTTACATTTTGTCCATCTTTTTAATTAGAGCCTTTAAGGTATTTATTATAGTGATTTAAAATTCCCTCTCAGACAAGTCCAATACCTGTGTCATATCAGAGTCTGGTTCAGATTTTATTTTGTGTATTCTTTAGAAGGTTTTTTCTTGCTTTTACATTTACATCATATTTCATTTTCTTGGTGACATCATATGTAGGTAAAGCACAGTTTGAGCTAAATAATATGTGTACTTGGAATTGGGGACACCTTTCCCCTAAGTATTTAATGGAAAAGTCTGCATCAACATATTTAAGAGTGGTACTGATTTTGTAGGGTTATTGCTATGGTTGCTATTAGTATACCACAGGCTTCAAATTTTTGTATAAATACCTTGTATTTAGAGCAAGGTTGATTTTCCAGAGCAATGCCTCTCCAATGCTGAGTCTCAGGCCTTGCCCCTGTGCTGAGCCTCAGAAAGTCTCTTGGCATGCTCTGCTGTGACTTACAAGTTGAAGCTGCTTCACTTAACGGTGTACATTCTCTAATTCATAAAATGAGATGCATTCTCTAATTAGTAGTTAAACCTCAGTATTTGACCTGGAGTAATGTCTCAGGATCTGGGAGATACAGCCTTCTTTGTCCTGCTGCTTGTCTTCTGACTGTAGCTGTGGGCTCTATGTATCATCCAACTACTTTTCAAACAATAGCTTTTGTTTTTTTGCTTTTTAAACCTGACATTTTTTTTTTTCAACTGCAATGTGGTTTCACCATTGCACTAAGGATTGCAGTTCTTGGTTTCCCTTCATTCCCAAAGAGTAAAGGTTTTGTTCTGTAGCAGAGAGGGAAACAAGTCCACGTGGAATTTCTTGCCCTTTTGTGCAGCTGCTTTTTCCTACCCTAGGTTTGCACCACATGGTCATTTCTCAGGGCCTCTTCCAATTTTTCCTCTGAGCACTCAGCAGGGTTCATGGTGGATGTCTGAAAGAGGGTATAAACTCCAATATCTTCAGCTCCCAGTGGTTTCACACTGTCCTGCCAGCCCACACTCAGCTTTCATTGGTCTACATCTATTCTAACTGAACTCTTCTTACCCTTGTATCTACTTTGGATAAATGAATCCTTACAGTTCTTTTTTCACTGCCTCCATCCTGTCTTGAGAATTTTGTCCAAGTTGGTTGCTCTGTGCTCTCCTCTTTAATAGGTTAAAAACATTGTGAATTTTGTTAGCCCAAATAACTTTACATTTTGTTGCAAGCATTGGAGTAATGTTCTTTCCAGGTCTCTGTAATCTGGATTGGAAGCTGGAAGGCTGATAAAAATTTAAAGTCATAAACATCCTCAAAGTGACTTCTAGAGTAAAATAAAAGACTGAGTCCATGCTTTCATAATATTCCTTGTTCCCAACCATATTAAGTCAATAGAGGAGCATTTAATGAGCATGATTTCATAATAATTAAAGGAGCATCTCCACGGATGACAAATTTTAACAAATTTCTAGAATTTGAAAAGTGGATGACAGACTATTTATGGATGGCTTAGAGCAGAGAAAGTCACAGTCTGATGAAGGATGCTGAGAAGAACAAAGAAACCGAAGGAACTCTGGACTTAAGAGACAGCAGGTTTATCAGAGGAAAGGAGTGAGAGGTGGAGGCAGAAATCAGAAATCCTAACTGCAAACTTGAATGTCATTTACATAACAGTATATTATGCATTCACACTTCCCACCTCTGCCTTTATTTAGAGATTGCAGGGCAGCCAGGAATTTGCCTACCAAGAGAAAAAAAAATACTATTCTTTTCTGATGGATTATATAATCCCTCTGGGAAAAGAGTGTACAGTTAATATGGATGTTGTTAATTTAAGAATAGCCTTCCTTTTTCTAGCATTTGGATAAACCTGAACATAAGGTTTAGTTCCTCTCATGCTCACTGTAAAGGAAAGCCTCTATATAACTAATCTTTTCTTATTATTACAAGAAAAATTATAATTTGAAATAATAATTTTAAGAATCACTTAACTGCTTACTGTGTGCCAATACTTTTCTGAGGTAAGATTTTGTTGAAAAACAAAACATTATCAGATATTTGAAAAAAAGCCAGAAATTGAAGGTAAAAATATTAATATTAAAAAGGCAGAAAAGTACTTTAAAATAAAAAAAAACAGATATGTGAGAAATAAGAAGACAAATATTTTTCAGACTAAAACCTCCAAATATTAGAAAAAAATAGAAAACTCATGGAGATCTTAGATTCATAGTGAATTCATTCTATGAAAATAGAAGTGGAATAATGTAAGAAGACAAAATACGTAAAGTATGTAGCACAAAGCCTGGCACATATTAAGTGTTTGATAAATATTATTATTGTTATTATTATATTCCAAGCCTTCATGTGCTTGAGTAGAGGTGAGTCCTTTCCCTACAGCTTAAAAAGAAACAAAATAATTTGGTAGAATTATTCAAGAAAACCTTGAACTAAACTTGTCTATAAGGTTAGACAAATTAAACTTGTCTAACAAGTTCAAATTAAACTTGTTTAACAATATTATTGGTTATTCTTGTCTAACAATACTATGATCATTTCAACCAGTGACCTAAAGAAAGTCATTAACCAAATTAAGTTTCAACTGGGAGATGAGCTATGATATCTGTTTTCTTACCTATGAATTATTTTATTGTATTTTAATGTTGCTTCTATTTTTTCCTTTAGGGTAAGGAATGGCATTAATTTCCTCTCTAAATGAATCAAGTAACAGGAGGATTCCACCAGTGAGCTGCCTGAGCTCCTCATTCTTTGCATCACCTGCCATCAGTGACAGGTTGTTTCCAAAGAACTGATAGTCATTTAACCCAGGAAGGTAAAGCCAACGTAAGAGACCTGGCAGCTAAAATGGAATATCACCTTAACTGGCAGTTTCAATAAAAGTGTATGCCCTACAGAAAACAGATTAATTTAGCCTAATCTCCTTTCCTTTTTCCAATCTCCAATAATAGTGAATATACCAAGAGTGACAGTGGTGAAATATCCTCTATTCCAGATGATAGATAGAAAACACTGTGTTCAGAAGAAAGGATGATTTTTACTCTATTAGAATAGTGTTAAACCCACTTGACTCTATCACAGTCTAAGTTCTTTTTTTTTTAATTTTCCTGTGGAAATTATCTTAGTATAGTGTAAGTATTAAATGTGTGGTGATTCCAGAACTTTATTGGTTTATGAACCTTAGATTAAATATGTAAAATGACTGTCTTCATACAGTCAGCAAGATTTCAGAGTTCAAACTGGAGAGGATGCATTTGACATGCCTTTTGTGGGACCAAGTAGGAATGCTTAGCAAACATTAGGATATAGATGTCTGAAACCCAGAAAACAGGCCTAGGCTGGAGAAGTACAGCTGGTGTTCAGCATATAGGCGGTGTGATTAATGTGGGAATCCATGAAGCTAGCTAATGTGAGCATGTGCAGAAAGAGACCTAGTTTGGGTCCTTAAGATAATTTTACTTGAATATTTTTAGTAAATAAGAGATTATAGGAGAATATGGAATCATAAAAGAGGAGGAAACAGTGTTTTGTTATCAAAAACTTGGTTCTCTTCAGTGAGTTTTGACTTTTAGGGAGTCAAGAAAGTCGAGCCTGTAAAACTATTTATTGGATTTTTCAGCTGGGGATGACAGAGCTGCAGTTGTTTTACTTGAATGATGAAATATAAACCTGGTTAGAGTACATTAGTTTATTAATTTGTTAGTTATTTTACCTGATTTAATTCAAGAGCTCTTGTGGATTAAGTGATTATCAAGAATTTTGTGGTATAAAGCAATAATTTCTAGTGTTCAGTAGGACAGTAGGGTGACTGTAGTTAACAACAATATATTGTATATTTCAAAATTGATACAAGATTTTTAATGTCCCCAAAGCAAATAAATGATAAATGTTTGATGAGTATCCTAAATACCTTGATGTGATCAATACACATTGTATGCATGTATAAGAAGACCACATGTGCCCCATAAATATGTATAATCATTATGTGTCAATAAAACATTTAAAAAAGGATTCTGAGGTATAGCAGAACACCTTTTTAATTGAAAAAGACAAAAAAAAAAAAGAAAAAGAGAGACAATAATTTCTGCTTATTTAACCTATAATCCAGTGGTAAAAGGCTGTCAGCAATAACTTGGGAGGTCGAGGCTGAAATGAGCTGTGATCACACCATTGCACTCCACTCCAGCCTGGGCAACAGAGAAAAACTCTGTCTCAAAAAAAAAAAAAAAAAATACAGTCAATAAATGAAATGAATGAATAAAAATGGAGGCAGAGGGCTGTGAGTGCTATGAAAAAAAGGCAGAAAAAAATGGGAGATTTGATGGGAAGTTTGCAATTTTAGATAGCTTGGCTCTACTACTTTTCTGTTGCTCTCAAAGATTACTAATTAGTGGCTTAAACCAAAAATTCAATATCTAATATTTCTTCAAGTAATAAGTTTGATACAAGTCTCACTTGGCTAAAATTAAGGTGTTGCCAGAGCTTTATTCCTTTCTGAGGGCTCCAGGAGAGAATCCATTTTCTTCCCTTTTCCATCTACTATAGGCCACCCCCATTGCTTGGCACATGACCCCTTCCTCCATCTTCAAAGCTAAAAAATGTACATGTGGTTCTCACACTGCCATCTCTCTGGTTCTCTCTCTTTCACTCAATATAGACATAAAAGTTGTCCACTTTTAAAGGCTTATATGATTAAAGTATTGCCCATCTAGATAATACAAGACAATCTTCCCACCTCAGAGTCAGAAAAGTAAATCACATCTGCAAAGTCCCCTTTTTCATTTAAAGTTAACATATATTTGCAGATTATGGAGTTAGAATATTCTTTATCCTACTTACCACAATGGTCAAGGAATGTCTCACCAAAAAATGACCTTTAAGTGATGACATAGAGGAGTTGAGGGGAAAACCTTGCCAATGTCTAGGAGAAATATCTCACAGGACAACATTAAAAGGCAAAGACTCTGAAGGAGGAGATATTTGTATATTTAAAGAACAGAGGTGACCAGAACAACTGGAGTGACTTAAGCTATAGTAGGAGTGGTGGTACAAAAAGCAACAGAGGCTAAAAGGGGAAGAGGCTGATAGAACACTGTAAAAATGTTAGTTTTACTGTCATTAGATGAAGAGCCTTTAGAAGATTTGAGTAGGATGCTTTTATAATGTAACTTTCAAGTTAATAAGAGCACACTGATTATAGTGTTTAGAATAGAATAAAAGAGGACTGGAATAGAAACTTGGAGACCACTCAAAAGGCTATTATGACTTGGACCAGGATAATAGCATTAGAGATTACAGTAGATGTTCTCATTACAGATATGTATTTTAATAGATGCAACATATTGTACTGATAGATAGGAGGCGGGGTGAGAACAATAGAGTTAGATATGACTTCAAGTTTTTGACTTAGGTCACTATAAGGCCATTTATGGAAGTGGGGAAACCTTGCCTCCAATTTTCTATTTCTTGCACTTACCTTAATATCTCAACATTTTAAATGCAGTGTACCACCACGTCATTCTTGAAATGTTTTCTAGGTTTCCATGATACCTTCCTCTTGTAGGGGTGATTAGGGAAAGTTTACCCTTTATCCTCTGAAGTTTCACTGAAAATGAATTTACAATAGTTGCATTCATAGGAGAAAAAGTCACACATTTATTAATGTGCATATGACCATGAAAATCCCTCAAATATGAGACTCAAAGGACCTGATAATCGAGGCTTAAATATTCTCTTATTAGGGGAGAGGAAACTGAGAGGGCTATAGGAAATTTTAGGTGGATAATAATAAATACTTTTTAGGGAAAATGAATGAACCTAGGCAGTAGACATTATCTTGTAAATGATTATTTTTAGAAAACAAAATGTGTCCAACAAGTTAGGTAAGGGCCCAAATTGCACTGTGAGCAAAGGTTGTCTTTTTATGTAGGTAAAGTCTCCTAGGTAATCTCTCTCAAAGCTTCCTTCAGAAGAATAGGCAGGAAATCTATCTGGGTACTGTGATTTTTAGTCTCTTTTTTTTCTAGGCTGATCTTTACTGGTTATTTGATGAGATTCCTAGGGAGGGGACCTTAAGACAATTGCATTTCTCTTGGAAAGAAGTCTTCTTAGTCAGATAAGAAAATTCCAAAGATAGTCCTTCCTTGCACGTGGGGGTGGGGTGTGTGGGAAGAAACAAGAGAAGATTAGGAAGTCCTTGGTTCTGAAGCAGCTTCTAAGACCCTCCAATTTCTTCTAACTCAAAGTACTCAGCATGCCAAAGAACCAAACTTGAGAGCATTGTTATCTGCACCCCAAAACTCTTCTGGTATACTTTCTTTGTCTTTTTAAAGTCCTGGCACCTTGTTTGTTCGGTTAAATATTTGAGTACCCGGGCTCTGTCACTAAGTTCCAGTCTGTTTTACTAATCCCCAAGCACCAGGTGATTTTGAAACTGACTTTGCAAAAATTATGACAGTGAGAGAAGGCTAGAATGCCTGGCTCAGTTTTGCTTCTATCCTCTCAGGCTGGCTGACCTTGCTCATTCCTGGGTGTAGAGCAAGCTAACCATGGGAAGAATTTAGTTTGTACTTTAACTTACCAGCAAAGATGATAATAGTCCCTCCCTAAAACTGATCTCCTCCTTGTTTGGAAATGGAAATGACCTTTATAAGATAAATAAAAGGCCACAAAATTAGGGTTATGGGAGTGGCCTGAATACTGCTCAGAAGTAGGCATAGGTAAACAATAACCAGCCATTGTTTCCTAGTTTGCTTTTCTATAATCCTCTGCTGCTTGGGAGTCTTAGAGCCAGAGGCCACAAGATTTTTGACTCCCCTAATTGTGTCTGTAGATAGGATCACTATTGCAGAACCTAAGATTGGTCTTTTGAGATGTTTTTCAGACTTTTGCATTCTGGTACCCACTGATTCCACCCAGACTCATGACTCATGACTCCAACAGTCCTGTGGCCCCTGCCCTAAGCACATGAGGACCATTTTCCACACCTGAATGATGCCATTCTCAACCAATTATCAGCACCTATTCCCTAGCTCCCTGCCCACCAAATTATTCATAAAAACCCTAGTCTCTGAGTCCTTAAGTAAGCTGATTTGAGTAATAAACTCCCTTTCTCCTTCTTGGCTAGCAGTGCATTATTAAACTCTTTCTCTACTGCAATGCTGCTGTCTCAGTGAATTGGTTTTGTTTGTGCAGTGGGAAAGAAAGGGATTACAATTTAATCTACATAGCAAATATTCCAGAATTTATCATATTATCTGAATTTTAACCTTACTTACATTAGCACACATGATGTGAAACTGGCCCAATTATCCCATAGAACTGATATTTATAATTTTTTAAAATAAACATAGAAATTGACCCTCCTGATCTTAAAGCATGAAACTTACATTTGTCTTATCTGAGTCCTTCCTTAGAAAACTAACCCTCAGGCCTGTTGGATAGTATAAAAGTAGTTAAACTCCCAAGATCACAACATTCAGATAATGAAAAGCCAGACCTCTCATCCCTTATGATTTTCTTTCCATTTCCTGATTCTTGTTTACCTACAAGTAGTTATATTCACTCCCTGCTATATAAACTCCCAATTTTAGTTGGTCAGGTAGATGGATTTGAGATTGATCTGCTGTCCTCCTCAGCTGCAGCACCTGAATAAAGCCTTCTGCTCTGATAATACTCATTGTCTCAGTGATTGGCTTTCCGTGTTGTGAACAGAAGGACCTCTACCAAATTCTTACCATTTTGGAAACAGATTTTGATTCCCTAACTAAGAATATGTTGCTTGTGGCATGGCTGCTGCAGACTTGAAGTTTCAGAAGCCTTCCTAAGCAGTTGCCAGTCCCTTTCATTGGCTGAAGTTGGGTTGTGGTTTCTCTCTGATCTCTCCACTTCCAGCCCCAGCTGTGTTCCTGATTGCCTAGGAAGAACATCCCTTGAAATTTGTCATCTGTATCTGGACAAGTGAGTCTTTTTTCTTGGTACCAGACAGTGGAATCTGCACCACTCAATTTGGGAAATTCTGAAAAAATTTCTCTTCACAGGTTGAACAAGCCAAGCCGACTGGGAGAGGATAAATCACCCTGACTGTTTCAGTTTGGATATTCTTGGGGCTTGTTAGTTACTGCAACAGTTGGATTGTGTTTTGATGATTGTGTATCAATATAGTCAAGGAAATCAGAATTAATGAACTCATAATCTTTTGTAATACTGTTTGGCCCCATATTCTTTGGGATCCAGGGAAGTTTTGCCTCTTTCTGGATCTATTTTGTGGTTGAAAGGGAAAATTGGATGGAGTTCTATGTATCCAAGCTTTTATGGTGCAGTTTTAAACAGGGTTGGGATTGGTTAGTATGTGATGTTCTTCTGTGGTGCTGTTTGGCCCCAGTACTCTCTGGAGTCTGGGGAGGTTTTAGCCTTTAAAAATTATACTGCCATGGAAACTACTTTACCTGAAATTTTGATTCACAGCCTTCAGTAGATTACCTATTGTGGGAAACAACGTTTAACCATTTGAACATGTTTATAGACTGGTGAGTTTGTATTGCTGTCTCATGACTGCAGTTTCAAGGTAAAAGCTATCGAATCTTTGCGTATATACATGTTTGGATGTGTTTATGTGTATGTACATTTATTATGTCATATGTTATGTCTACCAAATTGACTTATAAATGAAAGAGCACTTATATATTAAGTAAATATATCCAAGCATTTTTTAACTCACGTGACTTAAGTAAATCATTAATAAACAGGCTATCTTTAAAATGATTGGTAAGATATAAATAAAATGTCTTTGAAATTGTCAGCACATATTTCTGTCTGAGTTTTACATATGTCTCTGCTAGATATTATGAGATGTCAGAGTTTGGCACAGAAGGTGAGTAAACTATAAACCCAGACAAAACAAAATGATCTTCATTTGTGTGACCCTTTTAACTAATTAAGACTATTTAATATTGTTGGTTTAATGAAAATAGCTGAATTGTCTGAATTCTTGGTGAAAATACCCATGAAGTAACTTTAAGTTACATGAACACCTTGTATTCACATGTTGTAAAATGGTTAACAAGAAAATAATGATGAGCTTTTTCTAACATCTCAGTTCTCAAAAGTAATCTCGATAAAACTATTAAAAATGAGAAAAGTGAATGCAATGCAAATTGGTACAATACCATTTAAAATCTCAAAATTATTTTTGATGCCTCTAGATTGTCTGAGTCATTTCCAAGTGAGAAAGGGTTTTAATATGGGAAAACATATTTTTGAAAATTATGGAATCTTCTCATCTATAAAATGCTAATATCTGATAGTTCAGGATTTCTTGCTTCCTAGATTTTCACTAAAATTAAGAATTTGTGATGAAGTTGCTAAGAATAAGAATTCGAGCTAATGTATAATTCAGTATATAAAACATACCAAAGCACATGTGTTTTTATCAAGAAAAAGAATCATTTTGTCTAGTTCAAAAGTTATCCAAAGATTAACTCAGACTATGGACTTGGAAAGGTTATTTAGGAAGTAAAGTAGAAAGCAACCAATAAGTAGGGGAGAGATATAAAGAAAGTTATGAAGATGAAGATATATATTTTTGGTAAAAGAAGGAAGTGAAAAATGGGGTTGGTTTCCTGTTTATTTGGTTTGGCTTCTAATTTTCATTAATTTGCTATTTGGTCTCCTTTGGGTTTTACTTATATATACATATATAAAACTGTTGTTGTTGGCAGTTTCTAATGAAAACCTTCTATATATATATTTTGATAAAAGAAGTTTATAAAGAAAAAAGAATAATTTTATATGGAAAATGATCTTGTATGATAAATTTAAAATAAGTATTTAAAACAAAAAGAAACTTTAGGACAAAACAGAAAGTTTAAGCATGTTATAGATGGTATGTGTAAGTCATATGCAGTATTTTATTTGTTTGTTTCTCTGTATCTTCATCTACATACAGAGAAAACAGGAAGTTGCAAAAGCTTGTATAGTAAAATATTCTGTAAAACCTGATAGGAAATTTGAGAAATTTGGCCAGTTGACATTGTTCATAGTTAAAGCTCTTAATCTTGATAAAGGTAAAATAAGAAATATTGCAAGGAAATACATTGGCAGTTTGACAATTCTTTTTTAATATAATTAAGCATGAAGCCAAATTTAGCATGAAGCCAAATTTCACAAAAATGCCTGCATTGCTTTCTTTCATACTATATTTGCTATTCTGCAAAGGTGGTACTAGCACTACTGTACTTACTCATCATGTGCCTGAAGTGAATTTGTTAGCTGTACACATGTATAATGGTTTTAGTAGACCTAAAGGCATTAATTTGTATGCCAGAAACAAAATATCTATCACATATTCTTTTTAAGGCTCTGGTTAACACTGTGGCATCCAATCAGAACTAATATCTGATAGTTCAGGATTTCTTGCTTCCTAAATTTTCACTAAAATTAAGAATTTAGTGAAGTTGGCCGGGCCTGGTGGCTCACTTCTGTAATCCCAGCACTTTGGGAGGCCTAGGCGGGTGGATCACGAGGTCAGGAGCTCGAGACCAGCCTGACCAACATGGTGAAACACCATCTCTACAAAAATACAAAAAAAATTAGCCAGGCGTGGTGGTGCACGCCTGTAATCCCAGCTACTCAGGGGGCTGAGGCAGGAGAATAGCTTGAATCTGGGAGGCAGAGGTTGCAGTGAGCCGAGATCGCGCCACTGCACTCCAGCCTGGGCGACAGAGCGAGACTCCATATAAAAAATAAAAACATTAAAAAAAATTAAAAAAAATTAAAAAATAAAAAAAATTAAGAATTTAGTGAAATTGCTAAGAATAAGAATTCTAGTTAATGTGTAATTCTGTATATAAAACATACCAAAAAATGTGTTTTTATTGAGAAAAAGAATCATTTTGTCCAGTTCAAAAATTATCCAAAGATTAACTCAGATTATGGACTTGGAAAGATTATTTAGGAAGTAAGGTAGAAAGGAACCAATAAGTAGGGGAGAGAGATGTACAGAAAGTTATGGATACAAAGATATGTATTTTTGGTAAAAAAAAAAAATGAGGGTAAAAAGTGGGATTCATTTCCTGTTTATTTGGTTTGGCTTCTAATTTTCATTCATTTGCTATCTGGTCTACTTTGGATTTTACTTATATATACATATATAAAACTATTGATGTTGGAAGTTTCTAATGAAAACTTTTTCAGGGAATGTCATTTTGTTTCTTATGCATTTCCAACAATTCATCATTTGCTTTATTAATATAAAGTTTCTAAGCCACCTTTGTCAAGCCTCCAAAAATTGCTAGAGCACATCAGCCATTCAATATTCGATTGGTTTTGCTTACTTCTGATGATCTACAGAGCTATCAGAGCTTTAAGCTTCCTGGAGGGAAAAAAAAGACTCATTTTTATAAGTTCTGAACAGAACTAATCAATTCTTTATTTTGTTATTTGGAAAAGTAGGTGAGAGTAGAAATCTTTAAATGGTGTTTATTACCAATGTAATTCAATTCAATCAATAATTTGATTTGGTTTTAGATATTTTCCTTTAGTTAATGAGGAAAAACTGTGATGTGAGTAGGAAGTTTTAATGTGTGGGGAAGACTGACTTTCTAAGAAAATTAGATTGACTGGGATTTCTCTCAAGCTACTTTCTGTTTACCATTATTAAAATTAAGGGGCATTCACTTAGATAAAGAAGCTAGGTCGTGTATAAAACAACTAGGAGATATATTAACCAGTCTCTCTGAGTTTGCTTCCAACAGGCTTCAGTTCCCTATAGACATGCCTCGTCACGCTTTGAAACTAAAGGACCAGGTCTTTCTGAAGACCTGGAAATTCAAACAAGTTGAAAACCAGCTGCAACCACCATGGGTCAGGCCTTTTGAAGTACTATAACCACCCATTAATCTGTCAGGTTAGCTGATGGTAAGCCATGGATTTACCAAACTTAGATAAAACCAGTCCCTGTGGGATTGGTTTTATGAACTGTTGGATGACTTTATGTTAATATTCAAAGCCCGTCCAAATACCCTACGGAACATGTGCTTTTCTTGGATTCTCTACGATATTCATTCCATATTCTTTGATATTTTAAAATTTTGATTATGTTATTAATCATCCTAGTCAACTTGGGTTAAAATGCTGTTCTAAAGCCATTAATAAAAGTACTCAGACTGTGGTGCTTCAACAAGCCAGATGCTGACCAGGTACTCATGAGTACTTCCAATAACAGAGGTAATATTTTCATTCTTCATGATTATCTCACAATGCCTCTCCTCAGCATGAAGCAATCAAAGAGATCTTTAACCTAATTCCCTGGAACTGATAAATAGAAACGGGGGACTTAAAACAGGCCCAATTGTCCCATAGAACTGATGTTTACAGTGTTTTAAAATAAACATAGAAATGGACTCTCCCGGTCCTAAAGCTTAAAACTTACATTTGTCTTACTTGAGTTTCTTCCTCGGAAAACCAACCCTCAGGCCTTCCAGATAGTATCAGTGAGCTGAAACTCCCTAGATCACTATATTCAGACAGTGAAAAACAAGACCCATATCTTTCATGATTTTCTTACCCCTCCCTAATTCCTGTTTACCTGCATGTAGTTACATTCCTTTCCTTCTATATAAACTCACTATTAGAGTTGCTCAGGGAGACTGATTTGAGACTGATCTTTCATCTCTTTTGCTGCAGAAACCAAATAAAGCCTTCTTCTCTGGAAATACTCATTGTTTCAGTGATTGGCTTTTTGCGAGGTGAGCAGCAGGACCTAGACAGAGCCCCTTGCATTTTGGTAACAATTGCTTGATATTTCTACTTTGATATGTATGAGACACCTCAAAACTCCTGTGTCCTAAGGAAAATCTCCTAAACGGCAACATCTTTGAATCCTTCAGCCTTCTCCATTTAATTAATGCTTTCACCAGTCAGTTGTTCAGGGTTGAAAACTGTGAGTTAACTTCCTAACAAGTCTCACTTCTTCTCAACTCCCCTACAATTTCCTCTTGTCATTTCATGTAGAGTAATAACTTTATAGCACAAATCAGTACATGTTACATGCTTAAAATGCACCAAGAAATTTTGACTGAAATTGAAATATGAATCCTTTTCTATGACATGTATGACCCTGTATTACCTGGACCTTACCTCTTTCTCTGCTTTTATATAGCAATACTGTTACCTAATTCCCAACCAACTCAGAATTACTTTAAAAAATTGGCCCTCAAAGATGCCAAAGATGCCAATAAAGCTATCTTTATTTTACTTTTGAGCCATTGCACTGGCAATTAATTCTGCTCAGAATGATTTTCTGTAGAGATTCCTATTGCTAGGCCTTTTCAAATAAGCTAAACTGGCTTCCAACCAACCTCTCCAGATAAAGCACACTTCTTCCCCATTACTCCCTATTCATCTCATTGACTTTTAAACTTTTTTCCATAGAACTGATCATTCTCTGAAGTCACTTTTTATTTATGGTATATTTGACACCATATAAGATTTAGTATCCAAAATGCAGGTATTGTTGCATAGCTCTAGGGTAAGATATTCCCAAGTTATTTATATGTGATTTGTGTGTCATGGCAGTGTGGACTGTGGGTTACTTCCTTAATTGGAGTATCTGTCTTGTACTCCATTCTAATACTAAGGCCTTGGGCTTGCTGACACATAGTAGATCAGATGTTCATTAATAGAAATGAATGAATAAGAGGGTTTCTAAAGATACATTGATCTTGTTACTTAGGTACAGTGTAGTATAATGAGAGTATTGTGTTCTCTAGGTTGAAAGTCAGCATGTGAAATTCTAATTTAACCTAAATGTTCATTGATTTATAACATTCATCTAAAGACTCAAAAGATTTGCTTGTTGTGACTTACCTGTTATCAGTAATATCTCTATTGTAAAAAAATTGTGACTAATAGGCTTCCTTAAATAATTATTGAGGAAAAAGAAAGGATTGGCTACACATGTCTTTTAATAAACTGAGTAGTTATGAAAGACAATCAAATAATGCTTAATTAATTTAATCAACAGGAAACAATAAGTCACATGTAGACTATGTGCTATTTTTCATTCTCTAGAAAACAAACATTACCATGCTTGGCTTTGATACAGAACCTTGGGAGCCTTCACCTTCTGCGGGGCATTCCAAAGACATTATTTAGCATTCCTATCCTCCATGGATAATTAGAGGACCATCAAATACTCTGTGTTACATGATGCAGTTGTAAGGCAACTTGTACAGCAACCTGAGCCTCAACTCTTTTATATACCATCCCAT
Source organism: Homo sapiens (assembly GCF_000001405.40). NCBI lineage: Eukaryota > Metazoa > Chordata > Mammalia > Primates > Hominidae > Homo > Homo sapiens. Next base: position 88,494,881 of record NC_000013.11, read on the forward strand.
TCCTTCAGGTGAAATCTTCTACATCCCCATGGTGTGTAGGCTGTTGGGTTTGTTTTATTTTTTTGTCTTTTTTTTTTTTTTTTTTTTCCTGACCAGGGCTTGCACTTCCCCACTCTATGCTGAGAACTGATTCTTATAAATCTGGATGCTAACATATAAAGTCAGCAGATATTGAAAACAACATCATCATCTTTTAAGACACATGCTATAGACCAGGTCATTTCATGAGGCCTCCTGACCAGCAGAGTTCAGGAAAATTTAGGTTTTCAATATTTTCAATCCTTTTATCCCAAATATTGCCAGTTTTTTATCACAGTCCCATTCTTTCCTTATAAAGGTCGAGACATACCAAGACTGTGTGTTGAGTCTTCACTGCAGTGTTTCCAAACTTGTAACCATTATCTTCGGCCTGATTTTCAGCCTAATCTTTCTAGTGGTTACAGTAGTTAAAATTGCTTTTAATACTACCAAGGAATTCGTGAGATATTTATAGCACCCTTAAGGTCGAAGAAAAATCTGTCCTGAGCGCTCTCTCTCTCTCTCTGTGTGTGTGTGTGTGTGTGTGTGTGCGTGTTTTGTTCAAGGTCTCCAAATTTGTCAAATTTGTCAAAACAGACACCCCATATGACATTTCTTATAATTATCATTCCTCTATACAAAACAAGTTTAGTCACCTTCTGACTTCTTACACTGCATCTGAACTTCTTCCTGATTAAGCACTGCTGAAAGCCTTAGTAAATATGATACCAACAAATTCCAGGGATTATTACTTGCCCTAATTACCCACAGAAATATATCTCTATTGACTTCAGATCAATGGTAAGTGCAAGGCTAAAATCTCATTCTGGGGATTTATTTATAGGACCACTAATGTAACCAATTATCTTATCAAAGATTCTTTTGAAAATCTACCCACAAGTATAGCATATGTATATGTATGATTATATATATATAAGGGGTGAGAGGTGGTAGAAGGATTGCTGCATTACCAGGACAACAAGGCTGAGAGAATAAATATGAGGAAGGTGGGAAGGAAGGAGAGGAAGAAATATATGTTAGTGAATAACCATCCATCAATTCACAAGGAATACAGGGCTTGCTGAGTTGCAAAGGCATCCCTTAACAGGATGTTTGGAGTCACTACGTCTGGAATTGTCCATTTAGGTATTAGAGAAAGTGAATCAAGCTGTTTATCTGGCTAACTCCTTTATGTCACCTGTATTTTATTGTTACAGTTTGCCTCAATGGGTTGAACACCCCCACATTTGTGACCTGTATTAATTTGCCCTGTCTGGCATTCACTGGAAAAGTCAGGGTCTGCCTGGTTCCAACTGAGCTGGACCTGGGTACTGAAGTTGATGAGCTGCGAACGTAACAGGTACAATGGTGACCATGATAAAAGTCAGCCCTTGTTCTTAAGAAAGCTTGAAACAACCCTCTGGGGACTAGGGAGGTAGTAAGGTTGGTAAGGGAAGAAGTATATCCTGGATATTCATTCTACTAATATTATATTACAACTTTATTTTTTAAATATATATTTTTTAATTTTAATCTATTTTTTATATTATACAAATATATGATCTGTGTTTGTAGAAGTATACCAATGACATACACAATATTCCAATTACAAAATATTTATTTTTCCTTTTCCTCTGAACCATTATTAATATTACTTTTTTCCAAAAAAAAAAAAAAAAAAAAGATGGGCTGGTTGTGGTGGCTCATGCCTGTAATCACAGCACTTTGAGGGGCCAAATTGGGTCTATGTCTTGACCTCAGGAGTTCAAAACCAGCCTGGGCAACTTGGCAAAACCCTGTCTCTACAAAAAAATATAACAAATTAGCCAGGTGTGTTGGCACATACCTGTAGTTCCGGCTACTGGGCAGGCTGAGATGGGAGAATCCCTTGAGCCTAGGAGACAGAGGTTGCGGTGAGCTAAGATCACGTCACTGCACTCCAGTCTTAGTGACAAAGCCAGAGCCAGAGCCAGACCCTGTCCAAAAACAAAAACAAAACAAAACAAAATGATGTTTCGTGTAGATTTGACCTGCATTAGCATAGTGGACTTGAGATGTTGTTGTACTTTATGGAGTGCATTTAATAGAATTCTCAGAGATCAGATCAGATGATTGTTCTAATATGGTCACATTTACAGGAGTAGCTGACATTTCTTGAACCATGCTTCCAACTTCATAATTCAGAGATTATTGTAGCCCTGCTCAAAAGTCTTATTCAGTTGTTGGGTGTATCCATCAAATATGACCTCACATATAGTCTTCCTTCACCCTTAATGATATCTAGTGCACAGATTTCCAGTTCACAATGCTTATTTCCCTTGAAGTTAAGTGCACCCTGACTCTGAACATGGAGCTGTCAGTGAAAAAGCTGCATCTCTGCCAAGGGTGCAAGCTGCAGCTGGCCTAGTTGTCCAAGTTGCAACGGAGCCCTCATTTAGCTAAACCATACTGAGTTTCAACCAGAAGTGGTTAAAATGTTTCACCATATGTCTACATTTTGCTATTTAAGAGTATTTTCTTTTTCCTTATCTCATATATTACATTGTAAAAGAAGCCCTAAAACTTAGGTCAACAAACTTTTGGCTCTGATCTAAGTCAAGAAACCAGTCCTGAAAACACTCCCAAGATGAGTATCATATTATTTGCTCCCCTGAAGACATTTTCTTTTTCTTTCTTTCTTTCTTTTTTTTTTTTGAGACAGAGTCTCACTCTGTTGCCCAGGCTGGAGTGCAGTGGCGCGATCTCGGCTCACTGCAAGCTCTGTCTCCCAGGTTCATGCCATTCTCCTGCCTCAGCCTCCCAAGTAGCTGGTACTACAGGCGCCTGCTACCACGCCTGGCTAGATTTTTGTATTATTTTAGTAGAGACGGGGTTTCAGCGTGTTAGCCAGGATGGTCTCGATCTCCTGACCTCGTGATCCACCTGCCTCGGCCTCCCAAAGTGCTGGGATTACAGGCGTGAGCCACTGCACCCGGCCCCCTGAAGACATTTTCAAACTCCTCCTTTGTAAAGAAAAACAGCATTTAAAACAACATTTGAAAATTTACTACTTATGGGATGAATCTGCATTTCATCATTTATGCTCAGATATGCTTGATTCACGTTTAGGCACAAGCGTGTGTCCCTGCTGCCTACAATTTATCAAACATGTTTATAGAATAATTTTTGCATTCTACTTCTGCTGGCAGAGCTGTGTGTTCCAGTTGTATCACAACAGATTGACAACAACTTTAAGGGAAGATCAACTCTGTTAGACAGGTATAGAGGCAAGCAATTGGTAACACACATCTCTAAATTAAAAATGTCAGGATTACAGAGCTCTCTTATATAAGCACTGCAATATATTATGTAATATTATATTTTCTTATGTAAAATTATTTAAGATAGCTTTGATTTAAAATTTAAACAGTTTACTCTGCATTAATTTTTTTGTCTTTAAGATATTTTATTAAGAAAAACATTTTAAATGTATATAACAGTAGGTAGAAAAATTTAAAAAACAACAAAAAACACAGACATAAATCACTTGAGTTAAAAAGCTCTCAACTTATAGACAATCTTGTTTTACGTATATACTCAACCATTTGTTCTCCATCCCCATTACATTCCTAAAAATTTAGTAAGCACCACTAAAAGATAAAGTTTTATTTAAAAAATATAAACACAATATCATTAGCACAGTTTAAAAAATTAATTAAAATGTCTTATCAAATATCAATTTAATGTTCAAATGCATAAGTGTAAATTTTGATCAAGTGAATATATGATTTGTAACTCATATTTTTAATTTATAAAAAAATTTATTTGCTTCACTGTGTTTTAGTAGTCATTATTTTTAACTTAAATCCAAATGACATAGCTCCACTGCACACTAAAATGTTCCATAATATATTTACTTACACCTAAATATGTTTAAATGTTGGAAATTTACATTATTACATTATTCTTTCACATGTCAATGAAAGAGTGATATATTATTAAATTACATACAACTTTTATTTATATGAAATGCTAAGAATATGGGATATTGATTTTTTTGGATAATTTCATTTGCATAAAATCATATGCAAATTCTAATTTTACATGTTGGGAATTGAACTTCATGTAGTGAGTAGTAAAATTTAGAGAGATAAATATATGTTGTATAAGCACATTTGATTAAACTTTTTAATATCATATTCTATACTATTGGTAGATAATATGCACTAATAGCCAGATGTCAATTCTAATAGTTCATTCTTGATTAGAAGGTAATAGTACCATTCAGAAATGAAAATTAGTTAAGAAAAGCACTTTGTGTATGCACGTCACACATGCACACAATTTATTTAATTTTTCTGAGGATTTTCTCTGCCTTTTTTAAAAAATTGAGTTTGTATTTTACAGCTGCTTTTGCATGACTGTCAGCACTGCCATCCAAAGTAAGTAGAGAAAATAAAGAAACATGAGGAATGACCACGTGGTGCTTAATCGCTAGCCAGGTCTATATTAAAAATTGACAATAAGACACTATCAAATTTAATATTCACTGTTTTGTAAAGAGGTCCCTTTTTTATCTTGATATCTTCCAATAAAGTACTTTTTGTGTTACTGAGAAATATATTTTAAGTCATTCAAACCATTATTTTTCACCTGCCTAATCTATGACTGACACCAAGTTATACGTATTGGATTGCTGGGCGTGGTGGTGCACGCCTGTAATTCCAGCTACTATTCCAGAGGTCAAGGCATGAAAATCGCTTGAACCTCAGAGGCGGAGTTTGCAGTGAGCCAAGATGGCACCACGGCACTCCAGTCTGGGGAAAGGAGCCAGACTCTCTCTCAAAAAAAAAAAAAAGAAGGTGGGGCCGGGTGCGGTGGCTCACGTCTGTAATCCCAGCACTTTGGGAGGCCGAGGCGGGCGGATCACGAGGTCAGGAGATCGAGGCCATCCTAGCTAACATGGTGACACCCCGTCTCTACTAAAAATACAAAAAATTAGCTGGGCGAGGTGGCGGGCGCTTGTAGTACCAGCTACTCAGGAGGCTGAGGCAGGAGAATGGCGTGAACCCAGGAGGCGGAGCTTGCAGTGAGCCGAGATCACACCACTGCACTCCAGCCTGGGCAACAGAGCGTGACTCCATCTCAAAAAAAAAAAAAAAAAAAGGTGGGGGGAATCCCTAGGCTGGTGCAAAAGTGATTGTGGTATTTGCCATTGCTTTTAATGGAAAAACTGCAATTACTTTTGCACCAACCTAATATATGTTATTAAATTCAGTTGTGGGAATACAAAGCTTGTATTTGATGAAATCTAAGGGATAAGCCAACTCCAACACACACACACACACACACACACACACACACACAGAGCTGGTTTCTCAGTCTCTGAATAGTGGTACAGTATTGAAAAGTGATAACTTCTGTGTAGCACCTCTTCATCACCATTTTTTTAATGGATAGATATTTTACATGCACAGGCATACACAATATAGAAACTATTTATTTGTGGATCAGTATTTTATAAATAACTTGTAGTAAATATAAGCATGATTTGTAGTAACTCATGATAAATTTATTTTTGACTAGTTTTAAATATATCACAGTTAAATCCATGTTTATACTACCCATAACAATAAGCTGTATTAGTACTTAGAATCCAGGAATCATTTCCTTTTTATGAAAACTTGGAATTCCGATTTTTTAGAAACTTTAATAAAATTCTCATTAGTGTTAAATTTAGTAGCCTATAAGTCACTTTTGATAGACCCTGTACTTAAACCAATGAGTCTTAGTTTTTTTCTTTAATTGTTGTCAGTCAAAACCTCATTAATCATCCCTTGTAGATAAAATTTGCACAATACTCCTGTCAGATTTTCATATTAATTAAAGAATCTGTTATGCAGCTCACATGCTGAAGATGGGGTAGAGTTTACCAATTCATATACTGAGGTGAGGATACAAAAGACCAGGCAGCTCTGCTCTAAAGATTACTTTGGAATGGATCTTGAGAAAAGGTGAAAGGCAGTTTAAAATGATGAACGATTATCATTGAAAACATACATGGCAGATATGATAAAACAAAGGTCCAAATACTGTTCTTTCATTATAGAATCAAAGAATATGATACAAATTAATAATTAACTATTTTAGGGTTTAAAATGTTGTCAAATTATAAATATTAATCTGAAAATAATGAAAAAATGGTTTTAAGTAATACATATGCTAGTAGAAAAGACACTGTACAACAAGCAAATTAACTTCCACATGCACACAAGAACTAAGATTTCACTGAAATAGTAAATTTTGAAAGTATCAGAGTGTTACATTAGCTCCTAAACATGGCTACTTTATATCCTGAGAGTATAACTTACAGTGCTGAAATTCAGGCACATCTTATACATAAATAGTTATCACCAGGGCGATTGGATGATGTATTTTCTTTTCTTTTCAGAAAATGCATATGCAGCTATAAAGACGTCATATTTACCCAGTGTGAATACCTTTCAATATATTTCAAAGCAGAGACAAATTTATAAAAGTAAAGCTTATAGTTGCTATACGGAGCAGGAATTTCACTAGCACAAATTCAAACCAGAGCCTTTCATTTTTATTCCTTACCATGTGCCAAGCAACATTTTAATATCCATCATTTAATCTTTACAAAAATGCTATGAAGTCAATAATATTAGTGTTCCCAGTTTAGAGAGAAAGCAACTAAGAAATAGAGTTGTTAAGTAATTCTCCCCACAGTGATGATTTGCATCTATGTAATCTGAGTGCAGAGGATGCTATTAGTATCTATGTTTAGCTGCTTTCCCAAAATAACAGACATTTTAATTGAAAGAGGACCTGATGCTCAACAACCAAAGTAACTTTTAACTATTTACAAAGAGAAATAACATTTCCTCCAAATACCTTCATACTACTAAAATTTTAGAGATGAGGCAAAATGATGTACAGATTTTAATAACACACAAAAGAGTTACGTGTACTAATTTTGGGATAAAATTGTCAGTGAAAATGTTTTGAATACTATAAGAATATTGTCGAAGATTAGCCATGAGTTTATAGAGCTATATTTAATGCAAAGTTTGTTTTTAACTTTTAAGTTCAGGGGTATATGTGCAGGCTTGTTACATAGATAGACTTGTGTAATGTCTATCTGTATAGGGGTTTCCTATACAGATTATTTAATCACCCAGGTAGTAAGCTCAGTACCAATTGGTTACTTTTTCTGATCTTCTCCCTCCTCCCACCCCCCACCCTGCAATAGGCCCTAGTGTGTGTTGTTCCCCTCTATGTATCCATGTGTTCTCATCATTTAGCTCCCACTTACAAGTGAGAACATGCAGTATTTGGTTTTATCTTTCTGCCTTAGTTTGCTAAGGCTAATGGCCTCCAGCTCCATCCATGCACCTGCAAAGGATGCGATCTCATTCTTTTCTAAGCTGCATGGTACTCCATGGTGTATATATTCCACATATACACATTTTCTTCATCCAGTCTATGATTGATGGGTGTTTGGATAGATTCCACTGTCTTTGCTATTGTGAATAGTGCTGAAGTGAACATACACATGTAAGTGTCTTTATAGTAGAACAATTTATATTCCTTTGGGTATATACCCACTAATGGGATTGCTTGGATGAATGGTATTTCTGTCTTTAGGTCTTTAAGAAATTGCCACAGTGTCTTCCACAAGGGTTGAACTAATTTACACTCCCATTAGCAGGTGTATAAGTGTTCCTTTTTCTCCACTACCGCACCAGCATCTGCTGTTTTTTGGTTGTTTAATAATAACCATTCTGACTGGTGTTAGATGGCATCTTATTGTGGTTTAGATTTGCATTTCTCTAATATCAGTAATGTTAAGCTTTTTTTTCAAGTGATTGTTGGGGTCATGTATATCTTCTTTTGAAAAATGTCTACTCATGTCTTTTGAAAACTTTTTCTTTTTTCTTTAAGATGGAGTTTCACTTGTCACCCAGGCTTGAGTGCAATGGTACAATCTTGGCTCACTGCAGCCTCTGCCTCCCAGGTTCAAGAGATTCTCCTGCCTCAGTCTCCCAAGTAGCTGGGATTACAGGCATGCACCACCACACCTGGCTAATTTTTTTTTTTTTTGTATTTTTAGTAGAGACGGGGTTTCTCCATGTTGGTCAGGCTGGTCTTGAACATCTGACCTCAGGTGATCCGCCCACCTTGGCCTCCCAAAGTGCTAGGATTACAGGTTTGGGCCACGGCCTGTATTTTTTTGGATGCATGGTTTGCAAAAAATTTTCTTCCATTCTGTAGGTCATCTGTTTACTTTGTTGGTAATTTCTTTTGCTGTACAGAAACTCTTTAGTTTAATTAGATTCAATTTGTCAGTTTTTGCTCTTCTTGCTATTGCTTTTGGCATCTTTGTCATGAAATCTTTGACCATGACTGTGTCCTCAATGGTATTGCCTGGGTTGTCTTCCAGGTTTTTATAGTTTTGGGTTTTACATTTAAGTCTTTAATCCATTTTGAGTTAATTTTTGTATATGGTGTAAGGAAGGGGTCCAGTTTTAATCTTCTTCATATGGCTAGACAGTTATCCCAGCACCATTTACTGAATAGAGAATCCTTTCCCCATTGCTTGTCTTTGTCAGCTTTGCTGAAGAAAAGGTAAAAGGCAGTTTAAAATGATGAATGATTATCATTGAAAACATGCATGGCAGATATGATAAAACAAAGGTCCAAATACTGTTCTTTCATTATAGAATCAAAGAACATGACACATATTAATAATTAACTATTTTAGGGTTTAAAATGTTGTCAAAATATAAAAATTAACCTGAAAATAATGAAAAAATGGTTTCAAGTATCTAATGCATATGCTAGTAGAAAAGACACTGTCATAGATGTGCAGTCTTATTTCTAGGTTCTCTATTCTGTTCCATTGTTCTATGTTTCTGTTCTTGTACCAGTGTCATACTATTTTGGTGACTGTTTTGGTTACTGTAACCATGTATTATAGTTTGAAGTGGGGTCGCATGATGCCTCTAGCTTTGTTCTTTTTGTGTAGGATTGCCGTGGCTATTTGGGCTATTTTCATGTTCCATATGAATTTTAAAACAGTTTTTTCTAGCTCTATGAAGAATCTCAATGGCAGTATAATAGGAATAGCTTTGAATCTATAAATTGCTTTGGGCAATTTAGCCGTCTTCAAGATATTGATTCTTCCTACCCATGACCATGGAATATTTTTTTCATTTGTTTGCATCATCTTTGATTTCTTTGAGTGAGCAGTGGTTTGTAGTTCTCATTGTAGAGATTTTTCACCCCCCTAGTTAGCTGTATTCCTAGGTATTTTATTCTTTTGTGGGCAATTGTGAATGGGAGCCCATTCCTGATTTGGTTCTCAGCTTGACTGTTGTTTGTTTATAGGAACACTAGTGATTTTTGAAGATTGACTTTGTATCCTGAGACTTTGCTGAAGTTGTTTATCTGCTTAAGGAGCATTTGGTAAGACTATGGGGTTTCATAGATAAAGAATAATGTTGTCTGCAAATGGATAGTTTTACTTCCTTTCTTCCTATTTGGATGCTCTTTATTTCCTTCTCTTGCCTCATTGCCCTGGCAAGGACTTCCAATACTGTGCTGGATAGGAGTGGTGAGAGAGGGCATCATTGTCTTGTGCCAGTTTTCAAGGGGAATTCTCTCTGCTATTGCCCATTCAGTATGATGTTGGCCATGGGTTTGTCAAAGATGGCTGTTATTATTGTCATGTATGTTCCTTCAATAACTGGTTTATTAAGAGTTTTTAGCATAAATAGATGTTGAATTTTATCAAAAGTCTTTTCTGCATCTGTTGAGATAATCATGTGTTTTTTGGCTTTAGTTCTGTTTACCTGATAAATCACATTTATTAATTTGTGTATATTGAACGAACATTGCATCCCAGGGATAAAGCCTACTTGATAGTAGTGGATAAGCTTTTTGATGTGCTGCTAGATTTGGTTTGCCAGTATTTTGTTGAGGAGTTTTGCATTGATGATCATCTAGGATATTAGTCTGAAGTTTTCTTTTTTTGTTGTATCTTGGTCAGATTTTGTTATCAGGATGAGGCTGGCTTCATACAATAGAATGAGTTAAAGAAGAATGCCTCATCCTCAATTTTTTTGAATAGTTTCAGAAATGGTATCAGCTCTTTTTTGTTCATCTGATAGAATTGAGCTGTAAATTCATCTGGTTCTGGGCTTTTTGTTGTTGTTGTTGTTGTTATTTGTTTGTTTGTAGGCTATTTATTACTGCCTCAATTTCAGAGCTCATTATTCATCTGTTTAGGGATTCAATTTCTTCTGGCTTGTGTCCAGGAATTTATCCATTTTTTTCTAGATTTTCTAGCTTATGTGCATAGAGGTGTTCATAATATTCTCTGATGGTTGCATTTTTGTGGGGTTAGTGTTAATATTCTCCTTGTCATTTCTGATTCTGTTTATTTGAATTTTCTCTTTTCTTCTTTATTAGTCTAACTAGTGGCTTATCTATTTGATAGATAAGGTTTGGCTGTGTCCCCCCTCAAATCTCATGTTGAATTGTAATCCCCACATGTCATGAGAGGGACCCAGTGGGAGGTAAGTGAATCATGGGGGCAGTTTCCCCCATGCTGCTCTTGTGATAGTGAGTGACTTGTCACAAAATCTGATGGTTTGGTAAGTATCTAGCTTTCCCCTGCTGATACTCATTCTCTCTCCAGCTGCCCTGTGAAAAGGTGCCTTTCACCATGATTGTAAATTTCCTGAGGTCTCCTCAGCCACGTGGAAGTCAATTAAACCTATTTTCTTTAGAAATTCCTGTCTCTCAGGTATTTTTTTCATAACAGTGTCAGAACAAACTAATACAGTAAATTGGTACCGACGTAGTAGGGTGCTGATACAAAGATACCCAAAAATGTGGAAGCAACTTTGGAACTAGGTAACAGGCAGAGGTTGGAACATTTTGGAGGGCTCGGAAGAAGACAGAAAGATGTGGGAAAGTTTAGAGCTTCCTAGAGACTTGTTGAATGGCTTTGACCAAAATGCTGATAGTGAGATGAGGAACTTGTTGGGAAATGGAACAGAATTGACTATTGCTATGCTTTAACAAAGAGATTGGTGGCATTTTGTCCCTGCCCTAGAGATATGTGGAACTTTGAACTTGAGAAAGATGATGTATGGTATCTGGAGGAAGAAATTTCTATGCAGCAAAGCACTCAAGAGGTGACAGAGCATAAAAGTTTAGAAAATTTGCAGCCTGACAATGCAGTTGAATAGAAAAATTCATTGTCTGGGAAGAAATTCAAGCCAGCTGCAGAAATTTGCATAAGTAACGAGAAGTCAAATGCTAATTGCCAAGGCAATAGGGAAAATGTTTCCAGGGCACGTTAGAGACATTCATGGCAGCCCCTTCCATCAGAGGCATGGAGGCCTAGGAGGAAAATATAGTTTCCTGGGCCCAGTCTAGTGTCTCCCTGCCATGTGCAGCCTTAGGACCTGGTGCTCTGTGTCTCAACTGCTCCAGCTGTGGCTAAAAGGGGGCATGGTACAGCTCAGGCCATTATTTCAGAGGATGCAGGCCCAAAGCCTTGGCAGTTTTCACATGGTGTTGGTCCTACAGGTGCACAGAAGACAAGAATTGAGGTTTGAGAACCTCCACTTAGGTTTCAGAGGATATATGGAAGTTCCTGGATGTTCAGGCAGAAGTCTTCTGCAGTGATGGTGTCCTCATGGAAAACCTCTGCTAGGGCAGTGCAGAAGGAAAACCTGGGTTAGAGCCCCCCCACAGAATCCCCACTGGAGCACTGCCTAGTGGAGCTGTGAGAAGAGGGCCACCATCCTCCAGACCCCAGAATGGTACATCCACTGACAGCTTGCACCATGTGCCTGGAAAACCTGCAGACACTCAATGACAGTTGTGAAAGCAGCCAGGAAGGGGACAGTACTCTTCAAAGCCACAGGGATGGTTTTGCCCAAGGCCATAGGAGCTCACCTGTTGTATCAGCATGACTTGGATATGAGACATAGAGAAGATTATTTCAGAACTTTAAGGTTTAATGACTGCCCTGTTGGATTTCAGACCTGCATGGGGCCTTGTAGCCCCTTTCTTTTGACCAGTTTCTCACTTGGAATAGATGTATTTACCCAATGCCTATATTCCCATTGTATCTAGGAAGTTAATAACTTGGTTTTCATTTTACGTGCCCATAGGCAGAAGGGACTTGCCTTGTTTCAGATAAGACTTTGGATTTGGACTTTGGTTTAATGCTGTAATGAGTTAAGACTTTGGGGGACCATTGGGAAGGCATGATTGTGTTTCAAAATATAAGAACATGAGATTTGGGAGGGGCCAGGCATGGAATGATATGGTTTGCCTGTCTCCCCACCCAAATCTCATCTTGGATTTTAATCCCCATAATCCCCATGTATCATAGGAGGTAGCCAGTGGGAGGTAATTGAATCATGGGGACAGTTTCCCCCATGCTGTTCTCATGATAGCCAGTGAGTTCTCATGAGATATGATGGCTTTATAAATATCTGACATTTCCCCTGCTAGCACTCATTCTCTCCCCTGCCACCTTGTGAAGAGGTGCCTTCCACCATGATTGTAAGTTTCCTGAGGTTTCCTCTGCCATGCAGAACTAAGTCAATAAAAAATGCCCTTATACATTTCAGTAAATATATGTGCCCAAGTTCAAAACAAAACAAAACAAAAACACAAAAAATTCAGGTGTAATATAACATAAGGTATGTTATAGAATTCATGAAAAAATTATGTTTATTGTATTTCATCTCAGGATGGTGACTGTTATGGACTGAATATTGTGTTTTGCCAGAATTCATATGCTGAAGTTATAAACTTCAGTGTGTCTATATTTAGAGTAAGGACATAATTATGATTAAATGAGGTCACAAGAGTGGGCCCTGATTTGATAAGACTAGTGTGTTAGGCAATTTGTATCCCTATTGAGGAATATCTGAGACTGGGTAATTTAAAAAGAAAAGAGGTTTAATTGGCTTACAGTTCCACAGGCTGTACAGAAAGCATGGTGCCAGCCTCTGTTTCTGGTGAGGACCTCAGGAAGCTTAGAATCATGGCAAAAGGTGAAAGGGGAGTTGTATCAAACGGTGAGAGCAGGAGCAAAAAGAAGGGGAAGTGCCACACTCTTTTAAACAATCAAATTTTATATGAACTCAAAGTGAGAACTCACATATCACCAAGAGGATGGTGCTAAGCCATTCATGAGGGATTCATCCCCATGATCCAATCACCTTCCACCAGGCCCCACTTCCAAGACTGGGAATCACATCTCAACATGAGACATGGAGAGGACAAACATCCAAACTATATTATTTAACCCTTGCCCTTCAAATCTCAAGTCCTTATCAAGTTTCAAAATACAATCATCCCTTCCCAATAGTCTTCCAAAGTCCTAACTCATTTCAGCATCGACTAAATCAAAAGTCCAAAGTCTCATCTGCAACTCAAGGCCAAGTTTCTTCCCCCTCTGAACCTGAAAGTTCAAAACAAGTCATTTAATTTCAAGACACAATGGTGGTACAGGCATTGGGTAAAGATTCCCTCTCCAAAAGGGAGAAATTGGACTTAAGAAAGTGACTGCAGGCCCTACACAAGTCTGAAATCCAGCAGGCCAGTCATTAAATTTTAAAGCTACAAAATAATCTCCTTTGACTCCACATCCCAAATCTAGGGTACACCAGTGCAAAGGGTGGGCTCCTGAGGCCTTGGGTAGCTCCCCTCCTCTGGCATTGCAGGGTGCAGCCCCCATGGCTGCTCTTACAGTTTGGAGTTGAGTACCTGTGGCTTTTCTAGACAAGAATGCAAACTGCTTGTGGCTCTACCATTCTGGAATCTGAAGGGCTTCCCTCAGCTCCACTAGGAAGTACACTGGTGGGGACTCTGTTTGGGGGCTCGAACCCCACATTTCCCCTTCACCCTGTCCTAATAGAGGTTCTATGTGAGGGTTCTGCCCCTCTGGCAGGCTTCTGTCTGGGAACCCAGGCTACTTACACATTCTCTGAAACCTAGGGGAAGCTTCCAAGCCTCCTTCATGCTTGCATGCTGTGTGCCTGCAGACTTAATAAAATGTGGAAGCTGCCAAGACTTATGGTTTGTACCTTCTGGAGTGTTGGTCCACACTGTACCTGGGGACCTTTGAACCACTGCTAGAGCTACAGCAGCTGGGATGATGGGAACAGTTTCCTGAGGCTGTGCAGGGCAATGGGGTCATGGGCCTAGTCCCTGAAGCCTTTTATTTTTTCCTTCTAGCCCTCTAGACCTGTCCTAAGAGGTGCTGCCTTGAATATCCCAGAAAATGCCTCTGAGGCCTTTTTCTCATTGTTTTGTATGTTAGCACGTTGCTCTTTTTTAGTCATGCTACTCTCTCTAGCAAGTGGTTGCCCTGCATCCCACTTGTATTTCTCTCCTGAAAAATGCCTATTCCTTTTCTATCAAACAGCCAGGGTGCACATTTTCCAAGTTTTTACGATTTGCTTCTCTGTTATATATAAGTTCTAACATGTTTTGCCCCCATCTATGATTGTAGGTTGTTAGAAGCAGCTGCAGTGCTTCTTGAATGCTTTGCTGGTTTGAAGTTTTTTCCACCAAATAACTTAAATCATCATTTTTAAGTTCAGACTTACACAGATTCCTAGGATGTGGACACAATGCAGCCAAGCTCTTTGCAAGGGTGTAACATAGGTGACTTTTACTCCAATTCCGTATTACTTCCTTTTTTCCATCTGAGACCTCATCAGCCTAGCCATCACTGGCCATATTTTATCAGCATTTTGGTCCCAATCATTTTTGCAGTCTCTAAGAAGTTCTAAACTTTTTCTTATCTTCCTGTCTTCTTCTGAGTCCTCCAAACTCTTCCAACCTCTGCCCATTACCCAGTTCCAAAGCTGCTTTCACATGTTCAGATATCTTTTTAGCAATGTTTCACTTCGAGTACCAATTTTTTGTGTTAGGCTATTTGTGTTGCTATAAAGAAATACCTGAGACTGGGTAATTTATAAAGAAATAGAAGCTTCATTGGTCCACAGCTCTGCAGGCTCACAGGAAGTATGGGCCCATGGTTCTGCAGGCTATACAGAAGTATCTAATTCTGGCAAAGGCCTCAGGAAGCTTACAGTTATGGTAGAAAGGGGAGCTGGTATACCACACAGCGAGAATGAGAGTAAAAGAGAGAGTGGGGAAATACCATGCTCTTTTTAACAAACACATACTGCATGAAATCAGAGTGAGAACTCACTTGTCACCAAGGGGATGGTGCTTAGCCATTCATGAGGGATCTGCCTTCATGATCCAATCACCTCCCACCAGGCCCCACTTCCAACACTAGGAATCACAACTCGTAAGATTTGGAAGGAAAAAATATCCACACAATATCAATTAATATCCATAGAGAACAGAAATCAGAAAATTTTCTCTTAACCTACATATGTAAATAAGGCCAGGCCATGTGAGGATGTAGTAAGAATGTGGTTGTCTGTGAATAAAAAAGAGGGCTCTAAACAGAAATCATCTCTGCCAGACTTTGATCTGGAAGTTCTAGACTTCAAAACTATGGGAAAATAAATATCTGTTGTTTAATCCACACAGTCTCTGATATTTTGTTATCACAGCCTAAGCAGATTAATATAACAAATTTTAGCTAATTTTAATTTTTAAATATATTTTTGATATCTCTTGTAATTTTAAAAATAACTAATCGTATATAGAATATTTTGTGACTTCTGGCCAGGTGTGGTGGCTCACGCCTGTAATCCCAGCACTTTGGGAGGCTGAGGCATGTAGAACACTTCAGGTCAGGAGTTCGAGACCAGCCTGGCCAACTTGGGGAAATCATGTCTCTACTATAAATATAAAAAAATTAGCTGGGCATGGTGATGCACACCTGTAATCCCAGCTTCTTGGGGGCTGAGGCACAAGAATCACTTGAACTTGGAAGGCAGAGGTTGCACTGAGCCAAGATCGCACCACTGTACTCCAGCCTGGGTGAGACAGCGAGACTCCATCTCAAAAAAAAAAAAAAAAAAAAAAGAACATTTTGTGACTTCTTTCTTTACGTGACTTATAATTATTACTCTTTGAAGTAAGTAAATTCCTCTTAAACACTGAATTTTGTGCCTTACACATAATGCCATGCTCATGTACTAGTTAGACACATTACATCAAAGTATATTTTTCAACATTAACATTTTTTATCAACAGTATTAGCGTTTAATGTTTAATTGCCTAAATTTCTGAATATAGCAGTTAAAATATTTCATTTCATAAATATAGATATGGAAGAAATTATATTTTTTATTTCAGTAAGTGAGTCTGAATTTTACTTAGAATCTTTCTTCCCCCAGTCTGTGAAACTTAGTCTCAATAAATAAATTTTAGTGTTTCTCATCATCCCATTCTGGATAGGACAGAATAATCTACAAAGCCATTAAGGAAAATCAAGTAATATGTTTATTTTGTTTTTGAACAGGGGAGAATCTTTGTCCTCGTTCATCATCTAATGATATTTGTGAGAAATCTTTATTTTAGACTGCAGTATACCTTCTTCACTAAAAGTTCTTTCCAGACTGCTTAGCCCCTCTCTCATTGATATGTAGGAAATAGTTACTCTCATCTGAGGACATGTCTGCCATCTCAAATCTCCTGCTTCTGCTATCTCTGAGTCATGATGAGTGCACAGCTTTGCTGCTTCCCCAAATTCTACCCAGAAGTGCAGAACTGTCCTATTCTGATATACATTTTCCTAAAAGTTTTTGTTTCACGTTTTTTGGATGTATATTTCCCCCTACTCCTTTCTGCATGCTGTAGGCATTACCCTGGGAGCAAGTGGAGGTGGGAAGGATAAATGGAAGAAATTTAGCTCTCTTTATCACTAGCTTACAACAATTTCCCAACAAGATATTACTTTTATTTCCTCATAGTCTGTGATATTCTCAGTTTCTTACGTCTGATATAAACATTATTTATTTTCACTTCAGTATGCTGGTTTTGATATTGAAAAAAAAATGTTTGTTTTTCCAAACTCTTTTTTCAGTAAAAAGTCAAGGATAAGCAGTTTTGTATTCTATCGTGCTATTCATTCACTGTTATATTGAGAGAGAAAAAAGATATGAGCAAACTGAACATGGAAGAGGAAATGAAAAGGATGTTTAAAAGCAAATAATCAATTAACATTGTAAATATTATCCTGCTGAAAATCAGCACTTTGCTACCAGCCAGCAAAGTAATCTGAAGAGAATAGAGATTAATTTTGTTCAGGGGAATTGTAGTGATAGTGAAACAAAAGGTGATACGGAAATTATTATATTTAAAAAATTCTCTAGAAAATTAATTTCAAATACAAAGCAAATCAAATATCTTTGATAATATATTTTAAATCAAGGAGATGAATGCATGTTCAGAATTAGATAGGGCTTTTGGCCAATGTTTTCAACTTTCTGTCTCAAATTTGGAAATATGGTTCAATTCTGATTTTACATCTTTTTTTTTTTTTTTTTTTTTTTGCCCCTTTACCAACTTGTTCTGGAAATAAACAAATGTTCCTAGCTTAATATATAGACTCTTCCTGGAGGAAGGGAAGAGGTTGTGTGGCACAAAGCTAGAAGAAAGAGAAAATGTGTGACAAGAGAAAGAAAGATTTGACATTTGTACCAATGTGTGAAATTACAGGAAATAAAAAATATAGTAGTTGCATCATTTCAAATGATATCTCCACTTCAACTTATTTGCAAGAATATTTTTAAATGCTCATTTTATAGCTTTCAAAGTGAAGGCATTTTTATATTTAGTATTTAAAAATCATAGTGTGCATTTTTGATGTTCAGTTCTTTGTTTTCTGCTAATGTGATGTATCTGAGTTTGTGACTGCTGTGGTAATACACACAATGAAAAGCCTAGAGAGGTTTCATGCGTGTCCCTGTGAAGAGACCACCAAACAGGCTTTGTGTGAGCAACATGGCTGTTTATTTCACCTGGGTGCAGGCGGGCTGAGTCCGAAAAGAGAGTCAGCAAAAGCAGATAAGGGTGGGGCTGTCTTATAGGATTTGGGTAGGTAAAGGAAAATTACAGTGAAAGGGGGTTTGTTCTCTGGAGGGCAGGAGTGGGGGTCACAAGGTGCTCAGTGGGGGTGCTTTTTGAGCCAGGATGAGCCAGGAAAAGGACTTTCACAAGGTAATGTCATCACTTAAGGCAAGGACCGGCCATTTACACTTCTTTTGTGGTGGAATGTCATCAGTTAAGGCGGGGCAGGGCATATTCACTTCTTTTGTGATTCTTCAGTTACTTCAGGCCATCTGGGTGTATAACTGCAAGTCACAGGGGATACAATGGCTTGGCTTGGGCTCAGAGGCCTGACATTCCTGCCTTCTTATATTAATAAGAAAAATAAAACAAAATAGTGTTGAAGTGTTGGGGTGGCAAAAATTTTGGGGGGTTGGTATGGAGAGAGAATGGGCGATGTTTCTCAGGGCTGCTTCAAGCGGGATTAGGGGTGGCGTGGGAACCTAGAGTGGGAGAGATTAAGCTGAAGGGAGGTCTTGTGGTAAGAGGTGATATTGCAGGGATGTTAGAAGAAATATTTGTCATATAGAATGATTGGTGATGGCCTGGATACAGTTTTGGATGAATTGAGAAACTAAATGGAATAACAGAAGGAGAAAAACAGGTATAAAAGGTCTAAGAATTGGGACGACTCAGGATATCTGATTAGAGAGTGCCTAAGGAGATTCAGCATAGTCCTGCCAGCAAAGATTATTTATTTACTTCAAGAGTTAAGAGTGGCAGTTTGGGGATAGCACCAGAAGATATCAGCTGTGATGGCTTGGAAAAACAGTGTAAACCGGCAGTGTAAACAAGAGCAGGGCATGTATGAGTAGTTGAGAATGGTGAATAGGAGTGTGACTAGACAGAAGATAGTAGGGATGACAAGTTTTTTGGGGCACAGTCTAAGTTGGTCTGGTGTCTGGAATGAGACTGGGGCCTAATAAAAAGGAGCGTCTATACAGGAGCTTAAATGGGCTGTACCCTGTAGCATTCCGAGGACAGGCCTGAATTCTGAGGAGGAAAAGTGGTAAAAGTATTGTCCAGTCCTTTTTGGTGGCTGAGCTTGGTGAGGTGTGTTTTTAAAAGACCTTTAGTCCATTCTACTTTTCTTGAAGACGGAGGACCATAAGGGATATAAAGGTTTCACTGAATACTAACAGCCTGAAAAACTGCTTGGCTGATTTGACTAATAAAGGCTCGTCTGTTATCAGACTGTATTGAGGTGAGAAGGCTAAACTGAGGAATTATGTCTGACAGAAGGGAAGAAATGACTGCGATGGCCTTCTCAGACCCTGTAGGAAAGGACTTTACTTATTCAGTGAAAGTGTCTACTTAGACTAAGAGGTATTTTAGTTTCCTGACTCGGGCATGTTGAGTAAAGCTAATTTGCCAGTCCTGGGTGGGGGCAAATCCTCGAGCTTGATGTGTAGGGAAGGGAGGGGGCCTGAATAATCCTTGAGTAGTAGTAGAATAGCAGATGGAACACTGAGAAGTTATTTCCTTGAGGATAGATTTCCACGATGGAAAGGAAATGAGAGGTTCTAAGAGGCGGGCTAGTGGCTTGTACTATAGCATAACCTGCCTTTGCTGGTGTGTGGTGATTAGGCCTGGTGGAACCGCCATCAATAAATCAAGCGTGATCAGGGTGAGGAACAGGAAAGAAGGAAATATGGGGAAATAGGGTGAATGTCAGGTGGATCAGAGAGATACAGTCATGGGGGTCAGGTGTGGTATCAGGAATAATGTGGGAGGCCGGATTGAAGTCTGGGCCAGGAACAATGATAACTGTGGGTTTTAACAAAGAGTGAGTACAGCTGAAGGAGCCGGGGAGCAGAAAGTATATGCGTCAGGTATGAGGAAGAAAATAGATTTTGGAAGTTATGAGAAATGTAGGGAGTGAGTTGAGCATAGTTTGTGATTTTGAGGGCCTCTAAAAGTATTAAAGCAGCAGCAGCCACTGCACGCAGACATGAGGGCTAGGCCAAAACAGTAAGGTCAAGTTGTTTGGACAGAAAGGCTACAGGGTGTGGTCCTGGCTCTTGTGTAAGAATTCTGACCGCACTAACCATGCCTAGGAAGGAAAGTAGTTGTTGTTTTGTAGAAGGTGCTGGGGTTTGAGAGATCAGTCCCACACGATTGGCAGGGAGAGCACATGTATTTTTATGAGAATTATGCCGAGATAGGTAACAGATGAGGAAGAAATTTGGGCTTGATTGAAGTAATGGGGGCTGTCTGTGAAGCTTTGCAGCAGTACAGCCTAGGTAATTTGCTGAGCTTGATGGGTGTCAGGGTCAGTCCAAGTGAAAGCGAAGAGAGGCTGGGATTAAGGGTGCAAAGGAATAGTAAAGAAAGCATGTTTGAGATCCAGAACAGAATAATGGGTTGTAGAGGCAGGTATTGAGGATAGGAGAATATATGGGTTTGGCACCACGAGGTGGATAGGCAAAACAATTTGGTTAATAAGGTGCAGATCCTGAACTAACTTGTAAGGCTTGTCTGGTTTTAGGACAGGTAAAATGGGGGAATTGTAAGGAGAGTTTATAGGCTTTCAAAGGCCATGCTGTAGCAGGCGAGTGATAACAGGCTTTAATCTTTTTTAAAGCGTGCTGTGGGATGGGATATTGGCGTTGAGTGGGGTAAGGGTGATTAGGTTTTAATGAGATGGTAAGGGGTGCATGATCGGTCGCCAAGGAGGGAGTAGAGTTATACTTGTGGGTTAAGGTTGGGGAATACAAGAGGAGGACGCAAAGGAGGCTTTGGATTGGGAAGAAGGGAGGCAATGAGATATAGCTGTAGTCCAGGAATAGTCAGGGAAGCAGATAATTTAAAGTGTCTCAGCCTAATAAGGGAACTGGGCAGGTGGGGATAACGAAAAAGGAGTGCTTAAAAGAGTATTGTCTAAGTTGGCCCCAGAGTTGGGGAGTTTTAAGAGGTTTAGAAGTCTGGCCGTCAATACCCACAACAGTTATGGAGGCAAGGGGAACAGTCCCTTGAAAAGAAGGTAATGTGGAGTGGGTAGCATCTGTATTGACTAAGAAGGGGACGGGCTTACCTTCCACTGTGAGAGTTACCTGAAGCTCGGCGTCCGTGATGGTCTAGGGTGCTTCCGAGGCGATCGGGCAGTCTCAGTCTTCAGCCGCTAAGCTGAGAAGATCTGGGAAGGAGTCAGTCAGAGAGCCTTGGGCCAGAGTTCCAGGGGCTCTGGGAGTGGCTACCAGGTGAGTTGAACAGTCCGATTTTCAGTGGGGTCCCACACAGATGGGACAAGGTTTAGGAGGAATCCCGGGCTGTGGGCATTCCTTGGCCCAGTGGCCAGATTTCCGGCACGTGTAGCAAGCTCCTGGGGGAGGAGATTCTGGAGGAACGCCTGGCTGCTGCGGTTCAGGCGTTTGGAAGTTCTTGTGTGCTGGAGATGTGGCTGGGGTTTGTCTCACAGTGGAGGCAAGGAATTGCAATTTTTTCTGTTATTGTACACCTTGAAGGTGAGGTTAATTAAGTCCTGTTGTGGGGTTTGAGGGCCAGATTCCAATTTATGGGGTTTTATTTAATGTCGGGAACAGATTGGGTAATAAAATGTATATTGAGAATAAGACAGCCTTTTGACCTTTTAGGGTCTAGGGCTGTAAATCGTCTCAGGGTTGCTGCCAAACGAGCCATGAACTGGGCTGGATTTTTACATTTGATGAAAAAGAGCCTAAACGCTTCTGATTTGGGATAAAGAAAAAGGAGCATTAACCTTGACTATGCCTTTGGCTCCAGCCACCTTTTTAAGAGTAAATTGCTGGGCAGGTGGGGGAGGGCTAGTCACAGAACGAAACTGTAAGCCCGACCAGGTGTGAGGAGGGGAGGCGATAAAAAGATTATAGGGTGGAGGAGCGGAGGCTGAGGAAGAATTGGGACCTAGCTCGGCCTGGCGAGGAGGGGAGAGGTCAGATGGGTCTGTAGAAAAGGAAGATTAGAAAGACTCAGCGATGCTTGGGGTTGGGACTGAGGGGACAGGCGGGAGGGAAAGAAGGAAGATTTGGGATGAGTTGCACTGGGCACAGAGACTAGGAAGGGACTGATGTGTAAAAGAATGCCTGGACATCAGGCACCTCAGACCATTTGCCTATTTTACGACAAGAATTATTTAGATCTTGCAGGATGGAAAAATTCAAAGTGCCATTTTCTGGCTATTTGGAACTACTGTCGAGTTTGTATTGGGGTCAAGCGGCATTGCAGAAGAAAATAAGGCATTTAGGTTTTAGGTCAGGTGTGAGTTGAAGAGGTTTTAAGTTTTTGAGAACACAGGCCAAGGGAGTAGGAGGAGGAATGGAGGGTGGAATGTTGCCTATAGTGAAGGAAGCAAGCCTAGAGAAAAGAGAGAGTAGAGAAATGGAGAGAAGGGGTTTGGAGGTTCTTATCTTCCAGAAAAGTGGGAAAAGGGGTTGGGGCGCACAGATAAGAGGTTGGGGTGTGGAAATAAGGGATGGGGTGCAGAAATAAGGGGTTGGGGCATGGAAATAAGGGGTCAGGGCATGGAAATAAGGGGTTGGGGCACAGCAATAAGGGATTGGGGTACAGAGATATGAGGTTGGGGTACAGAAATAAGGGATTGGGGGTTCTTGCCCCCTAGAAAAGTGGGACTTGCCACTAAGGGTGAAAGAGAGGGGGTTGAGGGGTACTTGCCCCTCCCTCAGAAAAGCCGGACTTGCCGCTAAGGGTGAAGGAGAAGAGGTTGAGGGGTACTTGCCCCTGCCCCAGGAAAGCAGGACTTGCCGCTAAGGGTGAAGGAGAAGGGGTTGAGGGGTACTTGCCCCTTCCCCAGAAAAGCAGAGAAGGGGTAGAGACAAGGAGAGAAGGGGTTGGGGTACTTGCCCCTTCCCCAGAAAAGTGGGACTTGCCGCTAAGGGTGAAGGACCAAGACAGGCATCCCTGCGTGGTCTGACACCTTTGAAATGTGGGTGAATAATCAGAGAGGTGTCCCTGCAATGATTAAACACCAAGGGAAGGCTGCCTTCCCAGTCCGTGACTGGCGCCAAAGTTTTGGGTCCACGGATAAAACATGTCTCCTTTGTCTCTACTGGAAAATGAAAGGAATTGAAATTAAGAGAAGGGAGAGATTGAAGTGTGGCCCCAAGACTGAAAGGAGAAAGAGGTTGAGGGATAGTGAGAGAGGTTGGAGAAGAGATTAAAAAGAGGCCGCTTACCGGATTTGAAATTGGTGAGATGTTTCTTGGGCTGGTCGGTCTGAGGACCTGAGGTCGTAGGTGGATCTTTCTCATGGAGCAAAGAACAGGAGTACAGGGGATTGATCTCCCAAGGGAGGTCCCCCAGTCCGAGTCACGGCACCAAATTTCATGTGCGTCCGTGTGAAGAGACCACCAAACAGGCTTTGTGTGAGCAACATGGCTGTTTATTTCACCTGGGTGCAGGCCGGCTGAGTCCAAAAAGAGAGTCAACGAAGGGAGATAAGGGTGGGGCTGTTTTATAGGATTTGGGTAGGTAAAGGAAAATTACAGTCAAAGGGGATTTGTTCTCTGGCAGGGAGGAGTGGGGGTCACAAGGTGCTCAGTGGGGGTGCTTTTTGAGCCAGGATGAGCCAGGAAAAGGACTTTCACCAGGTAATGTCATCACTTAAGGCAAGGACCAGCCATTTATACTTCTTTTGTGGTGGAATGTCATCAGTTAAGGCGGGGCAGGGCATATTCACTTCTTTTGTGATTCTTCAGTTACTTCAGGCCATCTGGGCGTATAACTGCAAGTCACAGGGGATGCGATGGCTTGGCTTGGGCTCAGAGGCCCTACAAGAGGAATATGTAAAAAATTTCTGACACAAAGTTCAGATATGGCTTCTAAACATCCTGGTATTTACTACAAATATGCAGAAGTTACCTTAGCCCTTCCTGGTTATAGGGGTCTGATATGGTTTGGCTGTGTCCTCACCCAAATCTCATCTTGAATTTTAGCTCCCATAATTCCCACATGTTGTGGGAGAGAGCCAGTGGGATATAATTAAATCCTGGGGGCTGTGGCCCCAGTACTGTTCTCATGGTAGGGAATGAAAAAGTCTCACAAGATCTGATGGTTTTAGAAGGGGAAACCCCTTTCACTTGGATCTCAATCTCTCTCCTGTATGCTGCCATGTAAGTTGTGCCTTTCAGCTTTTGCCATGATTGTGAGGCCTCCCCAGCCACGTGGAGCTGTGAGTTCATTAAACCTCTTTTTCTTTATAAATTATCCCATCTCATGTATGTCTTTATCAGCAGCGTAAAAAACAGACTAATGCAGTAAATTGGTACCAAGAATGGAGCTCTACTAAAAAGTTACCTGAAAATGTGGAAGCGACTTTGGAACTGGGTTACAGACAGAAGTTGAAACAGTTTGGAAGGCTCAGAAGAAGACAGGAAAATATGGAACAGTTTGGAACTTCCTAGAGATTTGTTAAATGGCTTTGAACAAGTTGCTGATAATGACACGGGCAATGAAATCCAGGCTGAAGTAGTTTCAGATGGAGATGAGGAACTTGTTGGGAACTGGAGCAAAGGTGACCCTTTTCTATGTTTTCATAAAAAAACTGGCAGCATTTTTGCCCCTGCCATAGAGGTTAGTGAAACTTTGAACTTGAGAGAGACGATTTAGAATATCTGGCAGAAGTAGTTTCTAAGCAGCAAAGCATTCAGGAGGTGACTTGGTTGCTGGTAAAGGCACTGTTTTAAAAGGGAAATAGAGCCTAATACTTTGTAAAATTTGCAGCCTGACAATGCAATAGAAAAGAAAATCCCATTTTCTGAGGAGAAATTCAAGTCAGCTGCAGAAATCTGCATAAGTAATGAGAAGCCCAATGTTAATCACGAAGACACTGTGGAAAATGTCTCCAGGGCATATCAGAGACCTTTGCAGCAGCCCCTCCCATCAGAGACCCAGAAGCCTATGAGGAAAAAAAAAAAAAAAAAACGGTTTCCTGGGCCAGTCCCAGGGTCCCTCTGCTGTGTGTAGTCTAGTGACTTGGTGCCCTGCATCCCAGCCACTCCAGTCACGACTTAAAAGGGTGAAGGTGGCCGGCAGTGGTGGCTCACGACTGTTATCCCAGCACTTTGGGAGGCCGAGGCGGGCAGATCACGAGGGCAGGAGATCTAGACCATCCTGGTTAACATGGTGAAATCCCGTCTCTACTAAAAATACAAAAAAATTAGCCACGTGTGGTGGCGGGTGTAGTAGTCCCAGCTACTCGGGAGGGAGGCTGAGGCGGACTAATGGCATGAACCTGGGAGGTGGAGCTTGCAGTGAGCAGAGATCATGCCACTGCACTCCAGCCTGGGCGAAAGAGCGAGGCTGCATCTCAAAAAAAAAAAAAAAGGGGCCAAGGTAAGCGCTGGTCATGGCTTCAGAGGGTTCAAGTCCCAAGCCTTGGCAACTTCTTCTTGGTGTTGAGGCTGTGGGTGCACAGAGGCTCTCCACTGAAGCACTGCCTAGTGGAGCTGTGAGAAGAGGGCCACTGTCCTCTAGACTCCAGAATGGTAGATCCACCAACAGTTTGCACCATGCAACTGGAAAAGATGCAGACACTCAAACCCAGCCCTTGAAAGCATCTGGGAGCTGTACCCTGCAGGTCACAGGGGCAGAGCTGCCCAAGATCATGGGAATCCACTTCTTGCATCAGCATGACCTGGATGTGAGACCTGGGGTCCAAGGAGATCATTTTGAAGCTTTAAGATTTAACTGCCCCACTGGATTTCGGACTTGCATGGGGCCTGTAGCCCCTCGATTTAGGCCATTTTCTCCCGTTTGTAATGGCTGTATTTACCCAATGCCTGTATCTCCATTGTATCCAGGGAGTAACTAACTTGCTTTTGATTTTACAGGCTCATAGGTGGACGAGACTTGCCTTGTCTCAGATGAGAGTTTGGACTGTGGACTTTTGAGTTAATGCTGAAATGATTTAAGACTTTGGGGGACTGTTGGGAAGACATGATTGATTTTGAAATGTGAGGACATGAGATTTGAGAATGGCCAGGGGCAGAATAATATGGTTTGACTGTGTCCCCACCCAAATCTCATTTTGAATTATAGCTCCCATAATTCCCATGTGTTGTAGGAGAAACCCACTGGAAGATAATTGAATCATGGGCGCAGTTTCCCTCACACTGTTTTGTGATAGTGAATAGATCTCACAAGATCTGATTGTTTTATAAGGGGAAAACCCTTTCACTTGGATCTCATTATCTCTCTTGTCTATCACCATGTAAGACATGGCTTTAGCCTTCTGCCATGATTATGAGACTTCCCCAGCCACATGGAACTGTGAGTCCATTAAACTTCTTTTTCTTTATAAATTACCCAGTCTCGGGTATTTCTTTATCAGCTACATAAAAACAGACTAACACAAATTCCAAGTGAGCTTAGTAGCATACCTTTTTTTAGCCAAAAACTGTAAGAAATGCAGAAATAATTTGAGAAAGCATAAATAAAGTTATAATGGGAAACATAAAATCTTCTTCAGATTTACCAATTGTAGTGTATCACAAATCGAAAACATAATAAAAAGTAAAAACAGAAAATAGTACAATTGAGCTTTAAATCTTTCAAATCCAGAACATATATTTTTGTAAGTTTTTGTAATGTATACTAAAATTATCAAATAGTTAACCACAAAAAATCTTAAAACTTATAATAAGTATTCATACAGTCTTTTTTCATCTTTAATGAGGTAATGAGGAGTCCTAAATGACCAGGTGTTATTCATAGCTTTGAGTTTATTGAAATTCTTACAACTCTGTTTATTAGATATGCACTCATATTCCTAATTCAAAATCAGGATCTCAAATTTGCAGAGCCAGAAGTTGTGAGGATTTAAGCAAAAATTCTACAGGTGAGCCATAGGGACTTACGAAGAGCAGGGGCAATATTACTCCTGAAGTCACAAATTCTAGTAGTTTGGGACACAGCACTATATTTTAGTTCATATACTGCATCTTAGAGGAAAACATCCAAACACACAGGGTCTTGTTTCCAGTCTGGCAAATTAACTCAGATTTTATAAGACATTCTACCATTTTACTAGGTTGGCTACTTCTAAATAGTGAGATATCTACCACAACCAATAAGTCTCAAGATTGTACATTCATATCTTATTTGCTAGGGTGCTAAAATCATCTGAATCCGACTTCCACCTGGTGGTTGTTGGTGGCTTTCATCTGGGCTGTCAACTTTTCTCTACTTGGACTTCTCTGTTTCTCTCCCTGTAAGCTAATTTGGGCTTTCTTATAGCATAGTTGTTGGGTTCCAAGAGTGTGTGTCCTGAGAAAAAGAAAGGAGAGCAAAAGCTGTAATGATTTTTAGTACCATGCTTTAGACAATGTTACTTCTATTGCAGTGTACACATTACAAATTAGAAATTAAGGTGACCCTATATTTGAGGAGAAAGAAAGTACACTCAAATATAGGTTGGAGAATTGACCAAAATATGTGCAGACCTTTTTGTTGACCTCTGGCCACATGAGGTTTACATTATTTGCATATAAAAAATATATCCCACTTTCTAAGACCCATTTTCAAATAATCATATATGAAACAGTAATATTTTTAGTACTGTATATACAATCTCTGTCCAAATTACTTAGCTCTGCCATTATAGCTTGAAAGTAGCCCCAGACAATGTGTAAATGAATGTATATGGCTGTGTTTCAGTAATACCTCATTTACAAACATGTGGGTCAGAATTGCCCTGCTGCCCACAGTTTGCTGACCTCTGATCTACTGCAACAAGTTCAGATTATTTTCTCCTATTCAAGTTTCTCAAATAAAAAGGGACTTCAGAGGAAAAGTTAAATTCAGTATGTAAATATAATATCATTGGCAAAGACCACAGAAAAACCCAAATTAATGCCTCAGAAATATTCAGTTAGATAAAATATTCATTAATTATTAGTTGGCATGCATCATACTTTTCACTGAAGTGCTTCTTCAAGGTTCAAGGTCTGCACGTGAGAATCTGTCCCATGTATAAGTATCAGTAGAGTTCCTCAGAAATGTTTCCTTTGGTAAAAGGATTTGTAGATTTCAGGATGTAGGGAAATGCCTGGATGTCCAGGCATAAGTTTGCTGCAGGGGTGGGGTACTCATGGAGAACCTCTGCTAGGGCAGTACAAGAAGGAAATGTGGAGTCACATTTGTGTTGCCCACAGTTTGCTGACTACTGATCCACTGCAACAAGTTCATTCCTGAGGTTCAAGGTCTGCACATGAGAATCTGGCCCATGTATCAATAGAGTTCCTCAGAAATGTTTTCTTTGGTAGAACATTGCACATTTAGTTTATCTCAATTAAAGAATAAAGAACCAACAAGACAAGGTATCCCTCTCAACCCAAATACAATGGTGGAACAGAAATTGAATAATCACTATAGCCACTCCCACTCAAAAGTGGGAGAGGAATGGCTGACATCTAGAAGATACAAACATTCATGGCACAACTGTGCAGAGATGGCCGGTGAAATCGTTTCGTGAGCCTGCTGTTGGCCTTTAGAAGTCTGAGGGTCCAAAGATCCCCTTTAATTTTGCACTGTTTCTGTTCCTTCTAGTTCAAGCTTAAATAGCTCTATATAACATTTTTGTGGGTCTTATGAATTAATTGGTTATTCACTCCATTAGACAAAAGACACATTAAAAATCTCCAACATAAGACTTTCTCTGCCTTGAATTTCCTGTAAGGGTGATTAGGACACTTTTCTTAATATTTTCAGATGCACTTCAGTGAAAAGTATGAGGCATGCTGACTAATAATTAATGAATATTTTGTCTAACTGAATATTTTCGAGGCATTAATTTGGATTTTTCTGTGGTCTTTGCCAATGATATTATATTTACATACTGAATTTAACTTTTCCTCTGAAGTCCCTTTTTATTTGAGAAACTTGAATAGGAGAGAATAAAAAATAATTTAAATTTTAAACCCAGAAAGCTGTATCTTATTAATATGATTTTAATTTTTGCTTAAATTCTTAAAAATATTTATTAAATTTTAACCTCATGTATCTCCTTCTTAATTTTACTATAGGCAGTCAGTTGAAACAAGGTGGCATCTCCAACACTCTACCTAGAAATACGTGAAACATTGAGCATGCTAATAGGTTACTATGGCGCATTTTTCATAGTCTGTAAACCAATGTTGGCGTGTCATTATTAACTCAAGGTTATACTGATTTACAACTGAATATTGATGTTAGAAGTCCCTCTATATATTTATGAAATGTTTATGTGTGTAATCTTTCTTTCTCACTAATGAAAATCTGGTTAGATGCATAGGTGCAAAGTACAGACTGAATATTCTAGAGACTTTTAAGACAGTTTTGCTAATGTGATTAAATTCATAGGGTTGGCACTCAAGAATAGTTCTTAGAAGTATTCTTATAGAGAAGAGACCTGTATCTATCTTCTCTTACTCTTGCTGTTTGAAATGCCAAGTGTAACTGCTGAATCTTCAGCTATAATCTTGTACTAAGAGGTAAATCTGGGAATAGAAAATAAGAAAGTACAGGACTATGATTGAGAGTAACTAATCTATCTTACCTTCAAGTGGATTAAAAGTCTTGGATTCATGATTCCTGTACTTGTTTGACAATTCATAAAAAATAGCCTTCTATCATTTTTACAACAGTGCTTTTTGAGTATTTTTGTAATACATAGTCAAGCCTAGACTTGCTCATACATAACTTTAAACTAAGTATAACCAGGTCATTATGTGAGCTCAATAAACGAAGACAAACTTGCACTAGTAAAGCACAGATATCCACCACCCCCGAGCTTTGTGTTTAAGATCAAGTTAATGATTCTAAATCTGTGATAATTATTCCATCCTTTTCTTTCTTACTTCTAGTACACTATTTACTGTTCTACTTTCAGGATTCTCTCACTCCAAAAACACTGTGGTGATGGTAAATTTTGTGTGTCAAGTTGACTGGGCCAAGGGATAACCAGACCAATGATAAAACCATGTTTTTAGTTGTGTCTATGAAGGTGTTTCTGGGGGAGATTAGGATTTGAGTCAATAGAATGAATAAAGAAGATTTGCTCTCACCTATTAGGGTGTGCCTTATTGATATGGTTTGGCTGTGTCCCCACCCAAATCTCATCTTGAATTAAAGTTCCCATAATCCCCAAGTTTCATGGGAGGGACCTGGTGGGAAGTAATTAAATCATGGGAGTGGTTACCCTCATGCTGTTCTCATGATACTGAGTGAGTTCTCATGAGATCTGATGGCTTTCTAAGGGGCTTATCCCTCACTTCACTCTATACTTCTCCTTCCCACCACCATGTGAAGAAGGACATATTTGCTTCCGCTTCCACCATAAATGTAAGTTTCCTGAGGCCTTCCCAGCCATTTGAAACTGTGAGCCAATTAAGCCTCTTTCCTTTATATTACCCAGTCTCAGGCAGTTCTTTATAGCAGTGTGAGAATGAACTTATACACTCATCCAACCTATTGAGAGCCCCAAATAGAATAAATACATGAAGAAGGGGTGAATTGTATCTCTTTCTCTGAGATATCAAGCTTTTCCTTCCTCAGACATAGGAATTCCTTGTTCTCAGGCCTTCAGACTGGGTCTGAGTTACACCATCAGCTTTTCTAGTTCTCCAGTTCATAAGAGGAATATCGTGGGATTTCTCAGCCTCCATAATCCTGTAAGAAATCTCCCATAATAAATCTCTTCTCTCCCTCTCTCTCTCCTTCTCTCTCTCCAGATAGATACGTAAATAGATAGATTTAGATTTAAATATAGATACAGATATAGATAGAGGATCTTAAATCTCCTATTAGAGAATCCTAATACAACTTTACATTCTGGTTTTGAAATAACTTCTAATCTTCACAGAATTTTTTTTACTGATGGAAATTACATGTAAGAATATATTTAACATAACATATTATTGTATGTGTAATTACATCCACACACATATATATGCATCTTATACATGTACACTTTTACAGTAAGCCACCTTTATAATGAAACTGTGCTTCAGTATCTATTGGGGATAATTTTATAATTTCCTTCTTTTGATGTTTTTAAATAATGGTGTTGGAAATCAAAATTTTACTTAAATTTTAAATTTATAAAACTCTAACTTTAAAAAACAAAATATTGTTTACTTTTTCAGGGCTATTTAATGAATTATGTGTTGTCTTCTTTATCTTAAAAAAAATAAAGGGTAGAGTATATAAATGAAAAAGTGACTGAGGCAGGTATCAATCGCTTAGAGATTTATTTTGCCAGGGTCGAGAATGTGCCCAGGAGAAACACAAATCACAGGAGCATCTGTGACCTGCACATTTTCCAAAGAGGCTTTTGAGAACCTCAGTATTTAAAGGGGACAGAGCAAGCAGAAGGAGAAGAACAAAAAAAGAGGGGAGGGTGAGCAATGAAGCAAGTGGTTGCATTCTCACGAGGCTCGAATTACTGCTCAGTGAATCTACATTTTACATGTGAAAGAGCAGACAGTAGAGGAAAAAATCAATGATGCATTCATCTCAGAGTGGGAAGAGGGATGAATTCTAATTTTGTCCTTGTCTTGTCTGTACCTGTGAAGATAAGCTGGTAATTGACACTGTCGAGAAAAGATTTAACAGAACTTGGTTTCAGGGCTAGTTTCAAGGGGGAGCATGCATTCTAAACAATTTGGGGCCCACAAGGAATTTTTTTGTCCAACATTTGTGAGACAGGCCATCTGGGAAGACCTGTAGCCTTCTCCCACTGTGGGAACCTGGCTTATGTATGACGTTATGACATAAGCTTGTGAAATTACAGCTGTCTGTTTGAGAACAATAGGAAGGCAGTTTTGTGTGTCTCAGGTCCAAATTTTAACTCTCCATTTGAAATAGCAAGTTTGGGGTTCCAAGATTCTGTTTTCTTTCACGGGTAATTGTGAATTCACCATCAATTCTCTAGAAATAAAAGCCTTTTTACACACATTTCAAAATATTTTCTAGGATTCATCTGATCTAAAATTCCTTGCTTGTGTGGCTGCTGACTCTATCAGTTGTACACATGACTTCATGCATTAACTCTCGCCTCCGGCGGATTCTGCTCCTGCCTCGGAGATTTGAGGTATGTGAAAGTCGGGAAATCACACACACATGGTCTGCTTCAGCAAGGTGGAGAACGATATTAACAGGACACACATTCTCCTTTACTGGCCCACCAATCTCACTTTATTGGTTTGCTATTGAATTTATTGCTTATAAACCTTGGAGGATGAAAATACCATATAAAATATATATATATATTTTTATAGTTTTACGCTTATTCTAATGGTTTCTATGTTCTGGGTGTCATTGAGTAGAAACCCGTTCCTTATTTTCCCCTTACAATTCTTATTCATTCTTATGCTAAAGATACTAAAAATCACATCCAGGTTACTAATTTCCATCTCTATCACCATTCTAATAATTACATATTTTTCTTAATTTTTCTGCATTACGTTTACTTTCATATTTAAAATGCTTGACATTTTCTGTGTTTTGTGCTACTATTTTCTTTCTATTTAGAGTTTCATCTAGCTTTCTCTCAAAGCATTTGCCATGTTAAATATATGTCATTTCCCAAGTGACTAAGACTTAAATTCCTCCTTTTAATCTCCCAACCAATGTTAATAAATTATGCTTTAGGGATAAACTTATCTCGTCCCCATTTTAGGGAGTAATCACTCACTGATTCCAAGAATATCTGTAGCATTTTAGATCAAATAAAATAATTGGTATGTTCCAAAAGAAGCAGATAAGATAGGGAAAGGATAAATGTCTTAGGCTTTATCGTTTTCCAGTAATGGATAATGAAGATTGACTCAGAATATAATAGTTAGATCAGAACAAATTCTTCTTGACTTCCTAACTCTACCTGAAAGTTTTTGTACCTCTCAATGTGTATAACAGTATCTGCTGCTATTTACCTCACTGTGCACATTCTGCTCAAAAGCTGCTTTTAATTAATGTTAACTGAAAAGGTAAGCTTATAGAATAAATTACTGTGGCCAAAACCCATTACATCTAAGTTATTCCACCAGATCTTTGTGTTTTGACAGGAAAATGACCAAGGTAAATTAATTTTGAAGTACAAAATGTAATACTATTATTAGAACCAGTTTGAAAATACATATTTTTAAATCTCTACAATTGTTTTTTAAGGAAGGGTTTTTTAAAAATATATTTTTCAATGATACATATCTGTTTCTATTAAAGGGATACTCTTGTGGAGAGAGTTCAAAATCTAATTCTGACAGCTAAGCAAGCATAACTTACTCCAGAAAAGAGCAAAGAAGCTCTCAGGCATTTTTAGCAAAATATTTATGCAAGCATTCTCTACCTAGAGTCCTGTTTATATGTATACAATGGTAGCAATGTCTCAAAAATGAAAAAAAAAAAAAAAAGAATCTGGAGATTACAATGAAATTCAAAATCCCAAAGGATAGTTACCACTTTTTTCATTAGGAATAGATTCCCAATTATATCAGCTATCATTTAACCATATAGTTTCTATTTTCTAGTTTAAATAAGCATAAAATCTATTGATACTACATTCATACAAACGACAACACCAGGCAAAACCAGTATGAGAAAATTGCTTACAAATATTTTAGCTTTATCTCAGTTAAGAATAGTTAAGTATCTCACTAAACTACAATTAGGTCAGATTATGAAAAGGTAAGATTATTTTCACTTTTGAAAATGATTCTAAAACATGAACTTTTAATTTTTCCTAAGGTGTTGTGCGTAAACCAAAGATGCATCACTTAATTTGTATTATCTTCTCTAATAGAACTAATTAATACATTATGTAATGGTGAGTAAACTCAGTTAAATTTATTTACTTAAGAAAAAAAAATTTTATCCTACTGAAAAAACAGATAACAATGTGATTTACTAATAGATTCAACAAATATATAAATGAGATTTCCAAAAGCTAATTTGTAACAGATTTGGAGATGAAAAAAACCTTGGACCTAAACAGACAATGCAAAATCAAGAAGCAACAGCACCATGATACATACCATAATCTTTTAACTTACATTATTATTTTTTATTCTTCTGTTATGTTTAAAATCAAAATGTAATTTTATAAGTTCAAACTAATTAATTGTCCCAAAATTGTAACATGACAGTCATTTGCCAAAATGTGTGAATTTTACAATTGATAAACTAATGAAATTTTAATGCCTTGGAAATTATAATTAAGTTTTGATGAAATATATCAGAGTTGTCCATGATTGTAGAGAAAATAAAGAATACGGACAGAGGAAACAAAAAGATTTAGTATTATATTTTATTTTTATTTAGCCTATTTTGCAATGAATATGTGAAATGCTTTGTTATTTAACCTCTAAGCATGTGAATACTCCATGACTATTCATTTTATAAAATTGCTTTTATGCCATTTTGGAATATACCAAGCAAGTATGAGTACATACATACATATAAAAATGTGCACGTATCAATGGAAAAATATTTTTCATTTGGGTTCTAAATACTAAGTTTGTGTTATACATGTATGGGTACAAGTGTATGTCTGTATAAGTATTCAGAAATATACATGTGCCCATATACCTATAACACAATTTATATGGGAATTCATGCACTGAATTTTATTGGGACTAACTTCACAGTCATTTTTATACTTATTGTAAGTTTTTTGTAACAGCCTTATTGAGATATAATTCACGAACCACATAATGCAAGCCTTTAATATGTACAATTCAATGGTTTTTAACATTCACAGAAATGTACAACCATCAACACAGTAAATTTTAAAACAGTTTGACAACTTAAAAAAAAAAAAAACTCTGTACACTTTCTGCTCTCACCCCCTATTCCTCAATTCCTCCAGCCCTATGTGGTGAATAACCTGCAGCTCGTCTGTTGATATACATTTGCCTATTGTGGTCATTTTATATAAATGGAAACATATAACTTTTGTGATTGGCTTTTAACAATTAGCACAGTGTTTTCAAGGTTCATTGATCCTGTAGCACATATCAGTACTTGATTTTTTATGGTCAAATAATATTCCATTTATGGATATACAACATTTTGTTTATCCATTCATCTATTGATGGGTGTTTATGGCTACCATGAATAATGTTGCTAAAAACATCCATGTACAAGTTTTTTTGAGGACATGCATTTTCATTATTTCTGGATATACACCTATAAGTGAAAAAGTTGGGTCATATGTTAACTCAATGTTTAATGTGCTCAACCACTTGAGAAACTGCCAGACTCTTTTAAAGTGGCAGAATCACTTTACATTTCCAGCAGCAGTATATGAGTGTTTTAGTTTATTCACATCCTGACCAACACTTGTTATTATCTGATTTCTCATTAACCTATCCTAGTGTGTGTGAAGTGATATCTCACAGTTTTTATTTTCGTTTTCCCCTGACTGATGATACGAGCATCTTTTTGTATGCTTATCAGCTAGTTGTATATATTCCTTGGAGAAATGTCTATTAGGTCCTCTGCCCATTTCTCAGTTGAATTATTTGTCTTTTTATTATTAAGTTGTATTTGTTCTTTATATATTCTAGATACAAGTTTGTTATTAGATATGTAACACACAAACATTTCTTCCCATTCTGTGAATTCTTTTCATTTTTTTGATTGTATCCTTTAAAAGAAAAGTATTTTTATTTTTTACAAAGCTTAACTTATCTATATTTCCTGTATTGCTTGTGCTTTTGGTATCATATCTATGAATCCATTACCCAATTCAAGATAGTAAATATATAGCTTCATACTTTCTTCTAAACATAATATTGTTTTTCTTCTTATATGTAAGGCATTGATCTGTTTTGGATATGCCCTGCAGTAAAAGTCCAGCTTCATTGTTTTGCATGTGGCTATCTTGGTGCCCTTGCATTATTTATGAGAAGATTATGCATTCCCTTTTAATCTTATTGATCCTTCTCAGAAATCAGTTGACCATGGAGACATAGATATATTTCAGAATTCTCAATTCTATTCCATTTACATATATATATATATGTCTTCTCTTATGCCAGTACCATATTAACTTGTTAACTATTGATTTGTAGTAAGTTTCAAATCAAGAAGTGTGTGTCCTCCACCTATATTCTTTTCTTCAATGTTGTTTTGGCTATTAAGGGCCCCATTCAATTCAATGTAAGTTTTAAAATCTATTTATGAATTTCTAGAAAAAAAGCAGCTGAAACTCTATTAGGAATATATTGAACTTGTAGGTTAATTTAGGGAGTTTTGTCACCTTGATAGTGTGAAATCTCCAAATCCATGAACATGGAATGATTTTTTATATTTTTGGATCATAATTAATTAGCTTCAATGAGGTTTTGTAGTTTTCAAAGCATATTTTTTTTTTCTTTTTGGTTAAATTATTTCTTGAATATTTTATTATTTTATGCTACATAACATGGAATTGTTTTCTTTATTTCCTTTCTGTATTGTTCAATGCAAGTGTATAAAATATAACTACTTTTCGTGTATTGATCTTGCATCCTGTAACCTTGATCAACACATTTATTAATTTAAACTATTTTAAGTGTATTTCTTAATATTTTATAGGTGTAATGATGCCATTTTTTAATGTAGATAAATTTGTTTCTTCCCTACCATTCTGGATATTTCTAATTTTTTTTCATGCCATTGCTCTGGTAGAATTCTAGTACAGTGCTAAATAAAATGGGCCAAACAGACATCTTGGTTTTGTTTCAAAGCTATATGTAAAGCTACCCATCTTTCAGTGTTAAATAACATATTAGCTTTGAGTTTTTTATAAATACTTTTATTAGGTTTAGGAAAGCCTTTTTTATTTCTTGTTGAGTTTGTTTTCATTATAGACAATTTGTATTTGCTAAATGCTTTTTCTTGGTCTATCGATATTACCATGCCTCTTTTTAATTGTATTTATATGATGTATTATGTTGAATGACTTTTGGGTGTTAAACCAAACTTGCATTCCTGTGAGAAGTCCAAATTAGTCTTGTTATATAATTATTTTTTCAATGTTGCTGGATTCAGTTTGTTAGTATTGTGTTGAGGGTTTTTATTTCCATATTTATAGAATATATTGATCTGTAGTCTCTTTTCTTCTGAGGTATTTTTCTGACATTAATATCAAGTTAATAGTCACACCATAGAAATAGTTGGAAAGGGTTTCTTCTTATTTTTGTAATGGTTTGTGAAAAATTAAATAAACATTTAATTTTTCAAATGTTTGGTAAAATGTTTCAGCAAATCAATGTTGGTCTGGAATTTTCTTTTTGGGTATTAGAATTATTTTGACTAATTACTCTATTTATATATTGTGAGTCTATAAAGATTGTTTCTTCTTCAGTCAATTTTGATAATTTTTGTCTTACTAGGAATTTTCCATTTTATCTGAGTTGTCTAGTCTACTGGCACACAGTTGTTCATAGTATTCCTTTATCTTTACTTATTTTCAAATTTCAGCAAAATTGGCAATATTTTACCCTTTTTTAAATTTCTGATTTTAATAGAGTCTTCTTTGTTTCAATTGGTCAATCCAATTAAGGATTTGTCAATTTTCTTAAACTTTTCAAAGGACAGCTTTTTATTTCTTTTCATTGTCATTCCATACTTAATTCATTTCTGCTCTTGTATTTATAATTTCTTTTTTCCAGTTCTTTTAAGTTCAATTTGTTTTTCTTTTGTCCCAATGTCCTAATGGTGAGGTTAAATTATAGATTTGAGATTTGTCTTGTTTTCCTAATATAGACATTTACAGCAATATTTTTTCCTCAACACATAGCAGCAGTGCAGGTCACACTTGACCTATCTCTGTGTGGAACCACAAGTTAGTACAAGGTTAATGAGGATCCTGGCATCAGTATTCCCCGTGGTGTTATGCCAATGAGAGAACCTTGTCCTATTGGTGGGGCCAGAAAATAAGTAGAAAGCCCCCGATTCTCAGCCACATATACTCATGATTTAACTTCAGCAACAGAAGTCTGGGGTAGCCCAAAAAATAATCACAATTATGAATAAGATGTTTCACAGAAATATTACCTCAAAATGATGACAAGAAATCAGTATCACTGAACACACCTTTAGGAATATTGTAAAGAGGAATTTGTCTTATTTCTAAATTCACCAAACATTTAATTTATAGATGTCCAAAACTCAGCAAAGGAGCTATGAATTGCATACTCTGTCACAGTTTACAGAAATGTGTTTTTGGTATAGTTAAAAAAAATTTAAATTAAACATAGTTTTAAAAATAATATTTATATTTAAAATTTATAAAAATATTTTTAATTATATAAATATGTGTATATTTAGCATATGCAATTTGACTACACTATGTTATAGCCCTGAGATTATAAGTTTGTAATTGCAACTGTTTTACTTTCTATTCACTTAATGGTATTTTTAAAACCTAAATAAGAAGTATATTATAATATCATTAAATTCTTTGTATTCCTATTCATAACATGTAGAAAATAGAGAAAGAAACTTTTTCTGACAATAGCGAATTACAAAGGTATGTTCGTGGCATCTCCAATATGAATAAGAAATTCCACATTTTCCATATTTCAACATTACATGTACATGATTTGAGGAAAAATATAATGTACTTTCTAAAGAAATATATGTGCAGGAAACTTTAGCATACATTAAATTTTAATTTTAAGAGATAGACTAAAAATATCAAAGGCAGCCTGATTTTTCTTAATTTTGAGAAGAGGACCAAACCATGGTTAATATCAAAGCCAAATGAAACTCAATTTTGTTAATAATTTTTATTTGTTTTAACAATTTGACTGTTATGCTTATAGTGAGATGTATGTACATTGTATAACATGTAGATTAATCAAAAAGTTCAAATAACATTAGCAAAACATGAGCTATACAGATATCTAATGGGAAAGGAGTGGGAGAACACTACTAATATTATTTATATCTTTAATATGTCTATTCCTTCCTTCCCTCTTATTTATTTTTCTTCCCTCCCTAATTTCCTCTCTTCTTTCCTTTCTTCATTTATTTCTTTCTTCCATTTCTTATTTTCTTCCTATCTGCCCTATCTATTGATATGTGACACATAATACAAATATAGCTTATTCACTTAACATTTTATTACCATTTTGCAGAGTCCTGAAATTGGAATGTAGAATTAACACCAAGAAACCTAACTTAATATCAGGAAACAAATCTATAGAAAACAGAGACAAAATAGGAATTTAGTTCTCTCCTATAACTGAAACAATCTATTTCACTTTTAAGTAAAATTAAGTCCAAATAGTTGGAAAACGAGGGTATGTATGTTGGCCGAGATGTCAAAGCACCTAAAAGAGTTACTAAATTATTGGTATTATCTTGCCTTTTTATTTTGTTTTTGAATCATGTGATAAGTATGTATAAAGACAAATTTTCAAATCACCAGAACTTTCACAGTTTCATTCATTGAAATGATTCAACACTTATCACAGAGCTGCCTTAATATTTCATATTAATTTATCAAATGAAAATAACATTTAGATTTAGCAGTATTCTTCACAAATATAATGGTCTCCTTATGATCATGCCACTGCTCTCCAGCCTAAACAACAGAGTGAGACTTCATCTCTTATAAAAAGGAAAAAAGAAAGAAAAGAAAAAAATAGAATTCTATAAATATGTTGTAATTAATAAATATGCTCATTAAAATAATATACTTGTGCATTTAAATCAGCATTTGGCAGTACCTGTCTGCATGAAAAGACATTTTCAAAGATAAAATATGTAAAATCTCCTTACACATAAGCATTTGAATTCCATCAATTTTGAGTCAATTTTTAATTCCATCAATATAAGTTTTATGGGAAAAGAAAGGACATCTCTGTCTTTGAGATTTCTTTTTATTCCCTATGGAATTTTGATGTATATATGTTGATGGTGGGTTAAAGAAGCTTGTGTCGTGTGCTTGTATCAAGGAGACAGGATCTATAAACCTCTAGGTACTCTACATTGTACTGTTTTACATTGTGATACACTCTAGGCATCCTGGAGTTGAGCAATGTGTTGACTATACTGGTCACAGGGGCAATGGTTCCTATTCTACTGGGTGTTGAACTTCTGCCTGCATCTGTTATTGATTCTAGAATTTGGAGAACATATGGTCTCTTCTTTGGAGTTGCTTGTACATTATGGTTCTCCACTAATGACTTGGCCACACTTTATTCTTTTTTGGCATGTTCTGAACTATGGCTAGGACACAAATTTGTTCCTTGCCAGAACCAACTGCCACAAAGCCCTCAAGTACCTGGTCACTTTCTTCTGCCTAAATAATCTCTTATATAATCACCCCAGTATGACACTTGCTGATATTTACTATATTTTGTTGGTGTATTGAAGAACTTTGGATCCATTCAATGCTACACTGGTGCCAAGACAATTGCAGAGTATTTATACAAGCTTTTTTCTTGCCTCCAAACACAGCTGCCTCAATACTATTTTCCTTCCTGTCCTCACACTATTTAATATGCCTCTCTTTGTGGTGTTTGTTTTTGGACCGGCAAAGAACAATTCAAATATCCCCATCTTTCCTACTGTAATCAGCTACCACCAAACTCCTTATGCTGTGGTGAGAACCCTCATGACTCAAGTTAGTTAGTGAAAGGATGAAAATAAATGCATTTAAGAAAAAAAAAAAACTATGATGGGTTAATATTTTAAACTACTATTCCTATTAAATTATATATAACTGTAGCAGCTATATTGATTCTTCAACTTGGGGAAAAAGATGTTTCAAAGGAAATGAAGCAAAACTTAACAAAATCAATCACAAAAGCATGGCAGAAATAAAACCTACTAGCTGTCATTGTAAAATTCCTCTTCAATGTGGTTAGAAAGAATATTTCTTAGTATTTAGAAGAGAAGCAGAGAAGAAGTTCTCTGAGCCAAGAAACGGTATATATATATATATGTTCTTTGCTGGTCATATATATATATATATATATATATTTTGGGACGGAGTCTCACTCTGTGGCCAGGCCTGGAGGGCAGTGGCCCGATCTCAGCTCACTGCAACCTCCACCTCCCAGGTTCAAGGGATTCTCCTGCCTCAGCCTCCCAAGTAGCTGGGATTACAGGCTTCCACTACCATACCCAGCTAATTTTTATATTTTTAGTTGAGATGAGGTTTCACCATGTTGGCCAGGATGGTCTCAATCTCTTGACCTCGTGATCTGCCCGCCTTGACCTCCCAAAGTGCCGGGATTACAAGCACGAGCCACTGAGTCTGGCCAGATTTATAATTTTTAAGTGAATGACATTTTATTTTATTCGTGGATAAAAATCATATTACAATAATGTATTTCACATTTTAAAAATTAATATTATAAATAAAGTCATGGGAACAGTGGAGGATCTTTTACAACCGCTAGTCCTAAAGGAGAACATTCCTTAGACTGTCCCATTTCCTCTGGTGCCTCGCACTGACCAAATGGAAGCAAGCATGCAAAAAATTGGCATTAAATTAAGGCTCTTTAGAAAATACAGCCAATATAATGTATATACACAAAGATAAAGAGATTTATTATAAGGGATTGCTCACATGATTATGGAAGCTGACAAGTCCCAAGATCTGCAATTGGAAAGCTGAAGACTTAGAAGATGTAGTTCTAGCCCAGTCCAATGAGCACCAGGAGAGACAATGGCACAAATTTGAGTCTGAAAGCCAGAACACTGGAGACCCAGCAAGTGCTGGTGTTTCCATTTGAGTCCAGAGGCTAGAAAAGGCCCATGTTCCAGCTCATCCATTCAGCAAAAGGAGTTCCCTGTTGCTCAGAGGAGAGTCAAACATGTTTTATTCTATTCCCACTTTCAATTGATTTGGATGATTAACACCAACATAAAGGAAGACAGTCTGCTTTATTCAGTCTACCATACATGTTAATCTCAACAAACAGCCTCACAGATGCAACCGTAATAGTGGCCTGACTAAATATCTAGGAAACCTGTGGCCTAATCACATTAATACATAAAATGATCACAGCATCAGAAGTGTTATATGCTATCAAGCAAGGGTCTCCAACCTTTTTGGCACCGGGGACTAGTTTTGTGGAAGACAGTTTTTCCACAGAGAAGGCGGATCGTTTCGGGATGAAACTATTCCACCTCAGATCATCAGGCATTAGTTACATTCTCATAAGGAGTGTACAACCTAGATCCCTCGCATGCGCAGTTCACAGTAGGATTTGCATTCCTATGAGAATCTAATGGTGCAGTTGATCTGACAGGAGGCAGAACTCAGATGGTAATGCTCTCCGATGGCAATTTTGCAAAATATAAGCTTTGAGCATTTTTATTACTTTTTTAATTTTATTACTATTAAATTGACAAATCATAATTGCATATATAAGCTTTGAGTGTTTATTTTTAAAATAAACCAAAAAATATTTCACCAATAGATAGTTTCTAAACTATTCAACTAAATTAGCCAAGAGTAGTTTTGTAAGTCCCACTAAAAGCTAAACTAATAAAGTAAAGCATATGTATAACACCAGATTGAGAGGATAAGGGAGAGGGTAATAGGCCATAGAATACAGTTTACCTGTAATTCACAATCCCTGAATGAACTATTTTGCTCCTGAAAAATGTCCTCTAATTTTAGCACATTGATAGACTTGTTCACCTGAATGTTATCCCCTCCTTTTGTTTCTAGCTGGAATTTTCATGGTCAGTTCATGATTTCATAATCACAACTCAAATCTGCAGGTCACAAGATAATCAACTGAATTTGGCATTACTGGATATCCTACATTGCACCATATTTGTCCCTTATCTATGTGCATGTTTATGAGATGGTCAAGAAATAAAATTATGATTAGTTAGAAAAAGTTTTTTAAACTATAAAATTTCTGTATGTAGGCATGAAAATACATGCAGGATATAAAAATGAATCTTACAACACAATATATTTTCTCTATATTTCCAAGACTTTATACTTTTAAATCTACTTTTGCTTTATTTTAAGCAAAATATTTAATCAAATTATTAATGTATAAAATTTCGTAATGTTTAATTCTTTTTTTGTGATGAGAGATATGTTCTATATCTTGACTGCATCAATGCCAATGTCTTTTTTTATTATAATTTTTAAGTGAAGTAACTCCAGAATGGAAAAATCAAACATCATATGTTCTTACTCATATGTGGGAGCTAAGCTATGAGGACACAGGGCATAAGAATGATACATTGAACTTTGAGGGCTCAGGGGAAAGAGTCGGGTGGCAAGGGATAAAAGACTACACACTGAGTACAGTGTACGCTGCTCGGGTGATGGATACACCAAATCTCACAAATCACCACTAAAGAACTTATGTAAACACCACCACCTGATCCTCAAAAACTTACTGAAATAAAAACAAAAAATAAAAATGAATTAATTCTTAACATTAGTAATTGTCATTATTTATTTATATTCAAAATCAGGCAACAGAAATATGTTTGCACTTAATGCTCAATCATGAACAGCCACAGGGAAAAAAGAGAAGGTAAAAAATCCATTTAAGAAATTCTTATTGTAATTTCTATCATAGGTCTTCTCAATGGTACACATAAAGTATGTCTGGGTCAAGCAATGACAGCTTAATGCCTCTAAAAGTGATACACTGATAGCTCCCTAGAGAATATTTTTATAATAGATGTATTATTATATTTTATACCATAAAATTAAGTATATGTAAAAGATATTTGTATGAAAAATAAACAGAATAGAACCTATGAGATGAGAATTATAAGAAGTAAAAAAAATGAGCTATTTATAATATTAGCAAGGGATCCAATGCCTTAGCTCAACTAGAATATAAACTAAGATGTTATTGCATTTGTTAAAATACTTTCTACGTTGATACACTCTTCTATTATATTCTAAATCATTAAAAATGCTTTGAATAAAGGTTTAAATAAAAATATCATTAAAGTAAAAATAATATTCATTCTGTTTTTATAACAGCATTATACCCAATTTTTGGAATTCTTCATTTCAAATTATTGTCATTATTTAGTATATTCTGCACATTACTTTCATCCAGTTCCCTTTATGTGTGTAAACATGTGTGTCTGTGTGTTTTTGTATGTAGAGCAAGAGAAAGAGAGTACTGGGAATTGAATGTTTTCACCCTTCAAAACTCATGCTGAAAATTAATCCTCAATGTGCCACTACTGAAAGGTAG
The DNA here is from genome assembly GCF_000001405.40 of Homo sapiens. Lineage (NCBI taxonomy): Eukaryota > Metazoa > Chordata > Mammalia > Primates > Hominidae > Homo > Homo sapiens. The sequence continues at coordinate 88,539,139 of NC_000013.11, forward strand.
CTTTTAAGAAGTAATTGAGTCAAGAGTTCTCTGCTTTCATAAGTGGATTAAACTATTCATGAATTAATGGATTAATGAATTAATGGGCTATCATGGGAGTGGCATTAGTGGTTTTATAAGAAGAGAAAAAGAGACCTGGGCAGGTACACTCAGCCCTCTCACCACGTGATGCCCTGTGCCACCTCAGAATTCCCAAGTCCCCACCAACAAGAAAACACTCACCAGATGTAGCCCTTTGACATTGAACTCAGCCTTTATACTGTAGGGAATATATTTCTCTTCTTTTATAAATCACCCAGTTTCAGGTGTTCTCTTGTAAGCAACAAAAAATGGACTAAGACAGAAAATTGGTGCTGAGGAGTAAGGTGTTGATGACAACAAATACCTAAAAATGTGGAAACAACTTTAGAACTGGGTCATGGGCAGAGACTGGAAGAATTTAGAGGAGGAGGCTAGAAAATGCCTAGGTTCTAATGAGGACTTAGAAGACGAGAAGACTAGGAAAAGTTTGGAAATCCTTAGAGATTGGTGAAGTGGTCATAAGCAGAAAACTGATAACAACATAGACAGTAAACGCTATTCTCATGAGGTTTCAAATGGAGCTGAGGAATAAGTCATTGTAAACTAGAGTAAAAGCCAGCCTTGTTATAAACTGGCAAAGAATTTGTCTGAACTGTGCCACCGCCCAGGGGTTTTATGGAAGGCCAAACTTTTGAAGGATAAAGTAGGATATCTGGCAGAAGAAATTTCTAAGCAAAATATAAAAGAAGATGCATGGTTACTTTTGGCCACTCACACTAAGATTCTAAAGCAAATAAATAATTTAAAGCCAGAATTTATAATTAAAAGGAAAGCAGAACAGAAAGATTTAGGAAACTCTCAACCTGGTCACATAAAACATGAAAAAGTATGTTCTGGAGAGGAAATGAAGGTCATAGCCGAAGGACTGTTTGCTAATGAGATTAACATGGATAGAAGGGAATGAAACAAAGATGCTGAAAGCATTTCAGATATCTTTAAGGTTTCCCCTTCAATCCCAGGCCCAGAGGCCTAGGAAGGCAGAATGATTCCAAGGGACAGACCTCAGCTGCTCTTCCTGGGCTTGAAGCTGAGGGCCATCTTAGGACTCTACCCTCCACACCTCAGCACAGTGCTCCCTGGCTACCCCAGCTGTGGCTGATGCAGCTCCAGGTGGGGCTCATGCCACAGTTCCAGAAGGTAAAGTCATAAGCCTTGACAGTGTCCATGTGGTGCGGATTTTGCTGCCTAGCAGGAAGCAAGAAAGCTGGAGGTTTGGCAGCCTCCACATACATTTCAAAGGATGTCTTCAAAAGCCTGTGGTCCCAGTCAGAAGCTTGTAGCTGAGCAGGGCCACTGCAGCAGGCCCCCAGTAAAGCAATGCTGAGTAGAAACATGGGGTTGAAGCTACTGCGGCGCATCCTCACAGGGCAATTCCTACTGGAGCCATGGGAACAGGACTACAGAACTGTGGAGTCACCAGCAGCATGCAACACCCACCCAGGAAAGTTTCAGGCCCCATGCTCCAACCCATGTTGGTAGTCATATGAGCTGCACCCAGCAGAACCACAGGAGCAGGGCTTCCTGAGGCTTTGAACCCCTGTCCCAGTGTGTTCTAGAAAGTTTGACATGGAATCAAAAGAGATTGTTCTCCACCTTTAAGGCTAAATGTTTGCCCTGCTGGGTTTTGGACTTGCTTGGAGCTTTTTACTCTTATTTTGATTCTCTCTCCCTTTTGGAATGGGAATGTCTGTCCTATACCTGTAACACCATTTTATCTTGAAAGTGGATAACTTGCCTCAATTTCGGAGGTTTACAAGTAAGACTCTGGAATTTGGACTTTTGAGCTGATGCTGATGCTGAAATGAGTTTTTGGGGCTATGAGGATGGAAAAAAACGTATATGTATTTAAAGTTGTGAGAAAGACATAAGTTTTGGAGATCCAAGGGCAGAACACTATGACGTGAAAGTTTGTTCCCTCTGAAATTCATGTTGCATGAACTTTGTCCCCAGTGTGGCAGTATCGAGAGGTAAGGCCTTCAAGAGGTAATTGGATCACGGCCCTCAGGAGGGAATTTATCAATTAATGGATTAATGGATTAATGAATTGTCATGGGAGAGATATTAGTGGTTTCAAAAGCAGAGAAAGAGAGACCTGAGCTAGCACACTCCTCCCCTTCACCATGCGATGCCCTTCACTACCTTGCGACTCTACAGCGAGTCACCACCAGCAATGAGACGCTCATCAGATATGGATCCTCAACCTTGAAATGCTCATCTCCATACTGTAAGATATACATTTTATTCTTTATAAATTACCCAACTATGAAGGTTTTGTTATAAGTAACAGAAAATTGACTAAGAGAAAAACACAGAGACACAAAAATAAACATAATTTTTCTTAAGCATAATTTTTATTGTTTATCAGATTTTCACATGGATATGGCTCAAATTTTTATTTGATTTGTCTCTATTACACAGAATTATGAATATGTTTTGATGTTACTGGCGTTATTTTTTAAGCATATTTAACCTAATTCAACTAATAGTTTTTTTTATATATTATAACCAGAGAGGGCAAATTTTGAAATTATTTTTATCTATAATCCAAGGATAATATGCATTAAAGTAAGAAATAAGGTTTCCTTTGGCTATATGTTGCTTTAGTATGGTATCTTGTTATTGTATATACCATATAAGTTTTGTAACATGCATTATATAATCATGTTAAATTTATTAACACAGGCTTTGAAATAATCATTAAAACTATACATTTAACAAGATCGGAGTCATATGGTGCGCATCTGCCAGCACAGGTATGTACGTTCTAAATCTGGTAATTAATTTCTTCCTTCATATACAATGTGTTAGGTCCTAAATTAGATCCTATACTACATAATATTTCAAATTATGAACAGACTGGTAAATTTAATAAGAGAGATATATAAGGGGACATACATGGAGTGCCAAAAAATAAAAAGCATCAAGTGTGAGAGAATAATGCCAACTGATATTTTTTCAGTGATTAATATGTATCGTGAACTGATGATGTAAGCAATTTTACATGTTTTATCTATTTTACTTCCCAGAAATCTTACTAAATATAATTTCAGATTGCCACCTTTGGACAGATGAAAATACTGAGGCAGAGAAAAGTTAAGTAAGTTCCCCAAAGAGAAATACACAGCTAAGAAGTGTTAGTTTAACCTGACCATGTGGCAGAAAGCCAGATATGCAAAGAAAAACATGGGGGAATGGATCAAGAATGGTAAATTGACATATTATTATAAAAGAATTTAAATGAAAATTTAAGATGTTTTGTGTCAAATAAATGAATGAGAGTCATCGTAGGTGATCGTCCTTTGGACATTAATTTTAATATACTGCATGATGGAATAAGTACTCATACTGATCTTGAAAAACCCGACTTTCTAGTTACCAATTGCTTGTTCTTTCTACATTATTTTCTATTTGTTAGTCCTGAACTCTTTTTCTCAAATATATCATTTCTCCTTAACTTCTAAAACCACTTAATAAAAGCCTATCTGCCTTCTGCCTACTTTTAAAGTGATTATCTACTACTTACTTTTTAAAATCAAGAAGTTATATGAGGTAAGTAAGACAGTAGAGGGTGACATAATAAGAAAAAAATATGAAAGATTAGATATAAAAAGAAAAAATCAATATCTAATTGCAGTATGTGATATTATACACTCAAAAATCGTGTGTGTGTATATATATACACCCATATATCTATTTCCCAATAGCTTCCTTACATAATAACATTAGATTTCTACTTTTAAAAATATTGCACTCTTTTTGTAATTTGATCTCTTTTGTGCTAATTTTAATTAAGTTTTACAAACACTTTTGATATTCATGAATGAAGTACTGTCTGTATTGTCTATTTGCATTGTCATTATGTATGTGAGCAATATCTTAGGAAGATTTCTACTGATAAAAAAGACACTAATTTCAGCATTGCAAGATGTACATCAGCAAGGTAGATTTCAAGAATCTTTTTAGGCAGAGGTTCTTATTCTAGAGCCCATGGACAACCAGGAGGCCATGAGAAGATTTCAAAATGTCTTTGAGTGTTTTAAGACATTCTGCAAGAATGAATGTGTATATGCATCTTTCATTGGTGCTCCTGGAATTTATAAAACATACATTAAGAAACAAATATCAAGAATGACTACTGGAACCAAGTTACTCCTAAATGGGATGGCTAATCTGAAACACATTGATTTATCCTTTATTCACCAGAGACTGAAGGATCTTGCTATCTACCGACCTCTGGAATGTTCCCTGGCTTATCGAAGCCTTTTTGCTTCCAAAAAAGTTAATACAGGTGTCAGTCACTGAAACTCAGATTTTGGACCAATATAAATTAAATATTTATTCTTTCATGCCTATCAATCCTTGACAACTCACTGACAAAGGTTAACATTATTGAGACTCAGCTCCCAATTCACCTCTTAGTGATTCATTTGCAGTTTTCTCTTCAGTACACAGTGGAATATTTGTAATTGACTTCTCCTTAATTAAATCTTATGTATCGCTAGAATAATTAGTAAAGTTATACACAGGCCTAAAAGAGTAGACGGCATAAAACATACCCTCTAATTATTTTCAATATTAATTAGAAATAAATGGCAAATAAATTTGCCACCTAGATGATTATTTTATTTGGCACAAGAAATCCAGGGCTTTGATACAACTGAATATTGCACACCATAATACTGAATCTAGGATCAAAACTTTGTAATGTAGGTTTTCTTCCCAGTTCAGGAAACTTCTTGCCTGGTTATATTCACCAGCCCAAGTGGATAGGAGAATATTGTTTGTAATTAGCTGATTAATTTGAACCTTGTGAGCAGTCCACTTGAAAACAACTGACTCTAAATATGTGTGCCTTTAAAAATATTTTTACATCATTTAATTAGATCATTTGTTGATTAAAAATAAAACTTAATGGTGCCAAACTCTCTTAAAACATAGTAAAATATAATCATAAAAATTAAGCCTTCCCAGATCCATTCTCAACTAAGGAGTCTCTAGCATAAATACGATGTTAATGAAACACAGAAAGTTATATGTATCCCTTTACTTCTGAAAAATTAAATATGTAAGACTGTGCAAAAGGTTTTATAAGGTGTGCTAAGCAGTGACTGCATTTCCTATGAGCAGAGGTTTAGAATGTGTGTGTTTCTGTGTGTCATATTAAATTTCACCAAATTCAACATGTACCTTTATTTTATTTAATATTAACAAGCAAAATCTCAAAAAGCAGAATTCAATAAGAGTTTAAAAATACTTGTAATTTTCCATCTCAAAGTAAAGGCGAAAAAACTGAAAATTATAGCAAGGAAACTTAGCTGTCTCTATCTTGGCAAAAGATAAAACAAGGGAAAAAAAACTCACTTGAATATTTGAACCATAGGCTTATGCTCATTTAGATTTAAGATTTCAATCCACGTGACAAATATGGTACCCCAAAAAGCTTATGTAGAGAATATAATTTAAGTGTTCTCACATTGTTAGTGCCACTTGATGACTTGGAGAAACAAACTCTGATCATATCTTGAAGATACAAAATTTAATCTATCCAGGCAAAGGCAATTTTAAGATGTAACTCAAACTCAGATAAGATGTGGTAGTTCTATGTAGGACCACATAGGAAGCCACTTCAGGGCTTTAAACAGAGAAATAGCAAGTTCCAAAATATATTTCACTACAAATCCCTTTGGATTATGTCTGAAGAATGGATTGAAGATGTAATAATAGAAACAGAGACATTAAATAGGAGGCCATTTTACTAATGAATGAGAGGGATGCTGATGACTCAGACCATGGTGTTATTAGCATGTCATAAAAAGTGATTCACATATGTGTATTCTTGAAATCTGGCCAACAGGACTTGTTGATCTACAGAATGTAAGGTGTAAAACAAAAAACATGTGAAGAATAACCCCAAGTATTTTATGAGCAATGGGAGGAACACAATTAATACCAAAGATGGTGCAGGTCTGAGCGGGGAAAGACAGAGGTTTAGTGTCATGTTTGAGATGTGCATCAGACATTCAAGCAAAGGTGTCAGGTAGGCAGTTGTAGGTATGAGGATGGAATTTATAAGAGATCTCTGATATAGAGATATGATTTGTGTTTTTTGTCATTTATTTAAAGCAATAATACAAGAGGACATCACCAAGGGAATGAGCCTAGACCAAGAAAGGTACTACAAACTGGGTCTGAAGCACTGTGAACAGGGTGGAAGAAGAGCAAAACATAAAACCTGTTTCAGAGAATGAGTGACAAGTTTTGTTGGGTCAAATACAGCGACTGCTCATGTATAACCTTTATTGATTCCATGTTTGTATCCCTCCAAAATTTATATGTTCAAGTTCTAACCCCCAGTATGATGACATTAGGAGGTGGGGCTTTTGAAAGGTAAAGCCCTCATTATGGGATTCAAGTCCTTAAAAACAGAGAAGAGACAAGAGATCTTTCTTCACTATATGAGGATGCAGCGAGTAGATGGATGTTGTAAACTAAGAAGTTGACCTTCACCAAGGATCCACTCATGTTGCCACACGGATCTCAGACTCCTAGCCTCCAGAACTGTGAGCAATAAATTTTTGTTGTTTAAGGCATTTAGTCTATTCTATTCTGTTATAGCAGATTGAACCAATGCTGTGACATAAACAAAAACAATTCAGGTATTGTGGATGGAAAATTATGATGGGATAAATGTCTAAAAGGTTGTCTGTGTCAGATACCTTTGTTTCTGTGGCCTAGCAAATAAGGAATATTGAACATTTCTTCAATTGTTAATTCATGCTAATACAGGCCTTAAGATTAATTCTTTCTATGGGAAATGCATAGTTCTAGGTTGTTGATGGCTAGGGAAAGAGGACTTTGGATGTTTGTCAGAGAACTGCTTTTAGTAAATTATAATTTAGACAGCCTTTTAAAAATATAAATCATATAAACCACACAGTGAATACAAATGGACCATGAAGCATTACCTTGGCTTGTTTGGTCTGCTATAACAATTCCATAAACTGGACTGGGTAGTTTATAAACAATAGATATTTATTGATCACAGTTCTGGGGGCTGGGGAGTCCAAGATCACTTACAGATTGGGAGTCTGGTGAGGGGCCACTTTCTAGTTCATAGATGGTACCTTCTTAATGTGTCTTCTTATGGCAAAAGGGGCAGATGAGCTCCCTTTGGCATATTTTATAAGGATACTAACACCATTCGTGGTGATATTAGTCTCATGAACTAATCATATCCCAAAAGGCCTCACCTCCTAATAATATATGAATTTTTTAATTCATGTGAATGAAACCCATTCATTTGTTGAAATCCTGGATTTCAACATGTAAATTTCGTAGAGATACAAACATTCAGACCATAGTAAGCATCATAACATGTTAAATATTTGCCTCATGTCATTTGGTTATAGAAAGATGTTACTGTTTCAAATAAGATGAAAACAGTACTATACCTAAATGAAAGATGCGGCAGTTGTATGAAATGGTTGGCAATAAAATTAGAAAAAAATAAAAAGTGAGAAAGATTTGAAGAATAGTTAAACACATAAAGACAATTGACATGTTCATCCAACTCCAGAGAAACAGGTGCTCTGTCTTGCCAAACTGGGCTTTCAAGGCCAGGCACATCACTAAAGGCAAGACTGGTAGAAATTCAAATTTCCTAAGTTCATTTTTCTGACTCCACTCATTACCATCAAACCCTTGATCATTTGTCTCCTCAAGGAGCCAGGATGAAATAAAATAATTTGGAGCCAGAACAACATGGTCATGTGGCATACATAGTTTTGTTTCTCATTTATATTAACAATTTTTTTGTTTTAGCTTCACATATTATTCTTCTGAACTTTTTCTTTTCAGTTTAGTTGTCTTAAGTATCACAAATGTCTTGATAGAGCAGGTGACATAGGAAATCTTAATTTATGGAGCATAGTAAAATTTTAAGAAGTCATGCTCTTTTGACCTGGTTTAAATAGTTAAGAGAGATTATGCCAAAGTAACAATAAGCCCAGAAGAAGAAATAAACAAGATTTCCTGTGGAATAATGGTCCGAATAAGAGTCAATAGTAAAATGGGTTCCAATAAGCAAAATGAGGAAACGATCTAAGGTTTTTTAATCCTAGTTCTCAACTACCGGTGATCGTACCTTCAGGGTACATTTAGCAATATCCGGAGATATTTTCGATTGTCATAACTCACCAGTGGGTACTGGATTATAGTGTATAGAGGCAAGGGATGTGGCCAAACATCCTCCAAAGCACAAAATACCTCTGCACAATGAAGGATCATCCAATCCAAAATGCCACTAATGCTGAGGTTGAAGTAGTGACATATAGGTAACCCTACACCTGTTCCTTACCGTTTACCTGCTCATCACTTTAATAAAGCAAGAATTGCTTAAAAATCTCTTTCATATCATATGATACAAAATTATAAGATATAATATGATACGATATGATGTGATCTACTGGGTTGAATAGGGTCCTCCAAAAAATCTTGCTCAGTGGGAGTTTGTGAATATGACTCTCTTTGAAAATAGAGTCTTTGCCAGATGTAATAAAGTTAAGATGATATAATATTGAATTAGAGTGGACCCTAAATTCAGCACCTAAAGTCCTTATAAAGAGAGGGTGACTACAGAGAGAGACAGAAACATAGAGATATAGAGGAAGGAGAAAGAGGAGAAAGAAGTCCATGTGACAATAAAGGCAGAGATTAGAATGATACCAGTTGAAGCCAAGGAACAACTACGATTGCAAGCCATTCACACAAGCTAGAAAGAATCAAGGAAGGATCCCTCCCTAGAGACTTCAGAGAGATTATGGTTCAGGTGAAATGTGATAAAAAACTTCTAAAATCCAGAACGTTGAGATAATTAATTTGTGTTGTTTTAAACAATTGGGTTTGTGGTACATGGTTATGACATCCCCAGGAAATTAACACGTGTGCTCTGGATATGATATGCTATGACATGATGTGATATAACATAATGACATTGTATATGTAATGGCCAGGATTTCTTGATGCTGAGTATAAGGGAAACAAAACTCCATCATTCTTTCTTGTCTCCAGAGTAGCCTAAAATTTAGATTGAGTGGTAAGTATTTTGCTAAGTCAAGACATAAATAAATATTCTTTATAAAACTTCCCAAAACATCAGTAGTGTTATTATTTGGCATTCAGAATACTAATATTTTAAAAAAGAAAGTATCCCCAGTAAATAGAGGATTACAGAGACCAATTTGAATTTATTTTCTGCAAAAAATCAACATATAAAATGGCTCAATCTTCATAAAAATTCTACTCATATCTTAAGAGAAAGGTGATCCATATTTTATGCTTTTTAAAGGTGTACTTCCTGTCTGAGTAAATATAATATGTCCAAATTTGTTTACATTATGCTAAGAATTTTAAAAGAGAGATTGATATTTTGTTTAGTTGTAAAATATTTAAGTATTCAACAATAAGACTCAGTAAGGTATAGTTACCTGCTGTGCTTCAAATGATTGACATTAAAATATATATAAGTACTATAGCAGGAAAAGTTGGTTATATAATTTCATAATCACTGCTAATCCAATGCAAAGAAATTTAAAGTAGTGTTAAATTCAGACAAAACAAGAATAGGAACGTCTCTTATCTAATGCCTACAAGATATTAAAGAAACTCATTGGAAAAATGAAATATTTATTCAAATAGTTTTTCTGAGTCATAAAATTTTAAAGTCTTCATAGTGGTTATTTGAATTCTACTGCACAAACTGGATGTTATTCACACTATATTGGAATTGCAGATATGATTTCTGATTTTAGAATAACTTAGTTTTTTTATTAGTTACTTAAATATTATTGAAGTAACTATATTTATTTTTAATATTGATGATTTAGATGATCCTATGTAAAAATTATACTACAATGAAAATCTAAAATAATTGCTCATTTAAATAGAATAGGCATTACTATATTGACTACATTAGTTTGATTTGCCTTTTTAATGACTATATTTAGTTCTAAATGGCTGATTTAAAAAAAAAAGTTCTCCAGATTGTAAATATACTACCCCACAGATTTCTTAATTTTACCCTGAATAAAGCAACAATGGAGCATATACATTGATGTATTTAAAATAATGTTTTTAATCTACAGATGGCTCACAGTTAAATATACATTCTTAAAAATATTGTTTATTGATTTACATATAGGGAACTTCATAGTAATTTAAAAATGCAATCTCAAGGGGTATATGTATTTATTATTCTACATTCTAGTGTTCGTTTTTCCATGCAAATAAAAGTGGAAAACATCTGACCTGTCTGGTGTCATTAGCAGCAAATGGTGCATAAACTTTCACTCTTCAACCACATAGACTGCCGTAAACCGTGTCATATTTTTGAACATAAAAAAGGACTGGAAGCTAAAAGATAGAGATGGTAGTCCTCTTGGATATCTAAATGTTAACTATTATGTTATGGAATAATTTAGGAAATATTGCAAAAGTTATATCGTGCTATTAGGCAGCAAAACTGAGGTGCAGTGCTTTTAACATTTTATTCAACCTAATTAAACTAACCAAACTATTTCTATATCAGTTTATTAAAACCATGTCACTATACTTGGAGGAAATTGATGCTTTCTAAATTAAAATAAAAGTAAATGAAGAGTTTTCTTAGATTTATGTTTGCACTTAAGCATTTGATTTCCTCTGAACACCCCAGTAACTGTATTCTTTAGTCACTGCTCATGTCTACACCTTGATTACTCTTCAACATAACCTCAGTCTTTTTAACAGTGCCTGGCATATTATCAGGCAATAAACATATGTTGAATAAATAAACTCGGGATGAAAGTTGTGATAATTTTATAATACCTTAAACATATAATGAACAAAGATAAATCTGAAATAATAACTATTGCAATACCTGTGGCAGAATAAGTCTAGAACATATTTAAAATACAGAAAGAAAATAAGAACATATTCATGGGTGAGTTAAACTATAACTCAATTAAGCTCTGCTAGTTATATTTAAAGACAAAAGTGTTAACTTGTTGCATCTTAAGTTAAAATATTATTATTTAGTAATATTAACAAGAAGTAAAACTAACAAAAAGCACTCTGAGCTACAGATGAAAATATTTTAAAATTTGTTGTTTCAATAATAAAACAAAGTTTTGAGGAAATAATAATATAACTGGTAATACTCATAATTGAAAAAACAGAAATAAAATTATGAAATAATTCTGAAAAATTACAAAATAAAACCACGAAATTCAGAGAATAAAAATTATAGAGAAATAAATAAAATATGTTTGTTTAATAAATGCTCATAAATAAAAACATATAATCAAAATTAGAGTCTGCACAGTACGTTGGAAGATGGTCTTCATTATCCAATTGTGAAATGGATATTACAGATGATTTTCAGGTGTAAAACAGCATTATATTATTTAGGAAAATGAACACAAAAATGTATTTTTAAAAATATACCTAAATTATCATGAGATTATTTAGTGGAGGAAAGGACTGTTTTAACTGTCAATAATCATTTAGTTATATGAAGCATTGAAACTTGTTGGTATAACAACGACAAGTTCTTGTTGGTGTCTAAATAAAATCTCACTTTATCTAAAAATAAACTACTTCTTTAATATAAATATATTTACATATTTATATGATTATATTTATATTATATATCATTGATATTTAAATTTCTTCAGAAGTAATAACATTTAGACAATATCATAGCATTGTTTACATTTGGGTTATTACCTGTTGCAATTGCTTACTGAGGTTCTATTAAGAAAGCAGAACATATGCTCTTAACTAACAAATGCAGAAGAATAAATTTGGGAAATGACGTGTTTTAAAGACATGTTGGATCATAGAATTTTCTTGTGTATTCCTGTATTGACAATTTACATATTTTAGAACAAGATGTTAACTACATCCTATGGTAATTATGCTACACCTATGTGTACATTTCAGGGAGATTAATATTAGCCATTTGTCATATATCTATTTAGTAAGATATGCTAATTTTCACGAAATGAATATGAACCTCATGCAGAAACATATCTTACAAGAAGCATTGTTGATCAATTGGCCAAGTCAAACTACATTCCCAATGAAATTCCATAGAACTATACTAATTTTTGAAGTCCATTTAAAAGCTACTATAAAACACGTACAATATGCAGCATATTCTATTGTATGAATGCCAATGCAAAATACAGAATTCAGTTTTCACCAACTGAATATTTGAGTGGTGGTGGACATATTCATGATAAAATATAATTCATATTTTATTTTAATCAGTTTTTACTTATATAGAATACCATCAGCCTCTGCTTTCAGTAAGATGAAAGAGATGCTCATATTCTTCTGCTATTTTATACAAGAGTATGTTAAATATAATAGTTATGATTTTATATATTGTTAGAGAGCCTAAAGACAATATACAAATCCACTAAAGAAAGGAGCGAAGCTCTTTAAGTCCAAAGAATACAATAAATTCTGAAGCTTTTAGATACTAAGGGGCATAAATAGATGATGATGGTCTAGAAATACAGTACCATGGTCTATGTAGAGTGGGAATTGGATTCAAGACCATGTTATGTATATTGATTTCCAAAGCAATCTTACCTCTTGGGAAAATAATGAATTAGGAAAAAGAAATTCCACCATAAAGGCTGAACAGCCAGAGAAATGTTCTGCTTCATCCCTAGCTTTGGGTGTAGAATTTTTAAAAAATGCCTCCCTTGAGAATATATTACTATTGTCAGAGTCTCACGTGATTTGATTATTGAATCTCAAGTTATCTCAGACCACATGCTTTTTGAAACAGCATGAAAATAGGTCTAAATATTGTGAGGTAACTGACAGAAGCAAACACAAATCCTTCCAGAAGAAATGCTCAGTCAACATGTCTCGAAAGGTTTCTATAGATAAAATTCCCAAAAGTACTAAGTCATAAGAATAAGTAGGTACAATTTTTAAATGCACACATTTTTTTCAAATTGTTGCAAATCTCCAAAATATTTCCCAATATATTTATTGAAAAAAATGTATGTATAAGTGGACCCATATAGTCCAAAATATATTATTTAGGGGTCAACTGTACATTGTATGACCATTACTGAAATACTAAATTATTGTTTTATGCTTTTGACTTTTAAATTATATAGGAAATAAAAAAAGAAGTTCCAATAAAAATACAATAATACTGGCTTTTACTTTTACCTGTGTACAAGTAGAGTTCTTTATGTTTTTTATATTGCTTACAGTTATTACATAGTGTCTTTTTATTTCAGCCTAAAATATTTTAGCATTTCTTGTAGTGTGGGTCTACCAGTGTTAACTCTTTCAGCTTTTATTTATTTATTTTTTAAAAATGGGGAATACTTTGGAAACTGAAGGGTTAATTTGATCAAGTCTGCCTGCCCTGCTTGCTTTAGATTGCTTGCTTGTTGTTATTATTATTTTTGTCTTTTTTCCATGATGCTGAATACTGAAGTAGCTGAAGCTTTCACTGCTTAAAACTGAAACTTAATTTTCACTGGTTACTTTATAGAAAACAATCATAGGTCACCATGTTGTCAGTTGTCTTTCAGGAACTTGGTCCAACTTCTGGCCGGTTCAAACTGGTTGAGACCACGGACCCTTCAACTGGGTTTGCACAGGTGGCCTTTTGGCATTGGAGGGCCAAAAACTTCACCTTCAGATCATGCTAATGTTGCCAATTTCTGGACATATTTCCTTTGAAATGTCATGAACTCTGACTATGCTTGCGTAGAACAAACCTGATACTTTATTTTTCTCCGCTGCCAATCACCTTTCCCCACACCACTTCCCTAACACATAGGCATCCCTAAGTCTTATCTTCTGGAGGTGGATTTGAGAGCTGTTTTCCTGCCTCCTCACTCAGTGGTTTTGTGAATAAAACTCTCTTTTGCAATACCCATGTCACAGTAGTTGATTTACTGTACATGGGCAGAGCAGACTTGGACCTGGATGGTAATGCTTTAATGTCTCATTTATTTTTGAAGGCTATTTTTGAAGGATGTAGAATTCTTGGTTGACAGTTATCTCTATTAGCACTTTAAAAAAAAAGTCATCCTACTCCCTATGGCCTCCCTATGGTTTCTGATGAAAAATCTGCTTCTCAGATTACTTATTAATCTTATTGTGTGTCCTTTGAATGGAATGAATTTTTTCTCTTGCTGCTTTCAACAACTTTTTTGGTTTTTGACAATTTGACTATAATGTGTCTCAGAGTGGTTTGCTTTGAATTTACACTTTGAATAATTTTCTTAAATGTGTAGATATTTTCCTTTTGTCAGATTTGGGAAGTTTTTTTATTGTCATTTCTTCAAGTCTTTTTTTTTCTGCTCCTTTCTTTCTTCCTGCCCTCTTGAATTCCATTATGCATGTGTTGTTGTGCTTGGTGATATCTGTTATAGCTCTTATCTCTGTTCATTTTTCTTCATTCATTTTTTTTTAATTTTTTTCTCACAGTGCATAACTTCAGTTTACCTATTTTCAAATTCACTGCTATGTTTTATGTCCTGCTCAAATTTGCCGTTAAACCTAACCAGTGAGTTTTTCATTTTAGTTATTATTCTTTTTAATTCCAAAATTTTTATGTTATCCCCTTTTATGTACTTATCATAATTTTGTTTATATTTTCTTATACTATCTTCTGGTTTTATTTAACTCTTGAACATATTTAAGGTAATAGATTTAATGTCTTTGTCTAGAAAGTTCAATGACTGCTTTTTGAAGGTACATTCTCTATAAATTTCTTCTCTAACTGGGTCATAGGTTCTTGTTTATTCTCATGCTTTGCATTTTTTTGTTAAAAACTGGAGATTTTGAATATTATAATGTGGTAATTTGGATATTATATTATTACCCATCTTTGCTGTGGGCTGTAGCTTTTTGTTTGTTTAGTCACCTTTATAAACTCTTTTTGTAGTTTTTTCCTTCATGTTTGGTCCCAGAAATTTATGTTCCTTTAGCTTGTGTTCAGCTAGTGTTTTCACAGAGATTTTCTTGAATACCAGGAAGCAAAGAAAGGAAAAAAAGAGAGAGAGAAAAAAGAAAAAGGAAAGAAGTAAACAAAATCTTCCAGTCTTTGCTGATTAATTCTGTGCTGGGCATTTCTTTAACACTTATCCAGACTATTAATTATATTTTTATATCTTATCTTTATTTTCTGCTTGCTCTGAATCTATGTAATAGCCAGAAATGAAACTTAAGTGTTTTTATGCATGTTCTAATCATAGCCCCTACCCGGGGCAAGCATGTGACTTTCTAGCTTCCCCACTATACATATAAACTTTTGAATGCTAGTTTCCCAAAGAAACTCTCTGTTTCTAGGATTTCCTCCTATGCTTTAGGTGCACTATTTTTTGTACCTCAACTGTAATATTTTGCCCCAGGCAACAGCAGTTGGTTAGCTTGCCTTAAAATGTTTTCAAGTAATACCTGCCACTTTTATAATTGGAGTGAATATTGAGTTAGGCCAATCAAAGATGACTGTCTTGCATTAGTCCTTCAAGAAGTCCCCAGGCAGGCTAGAACAGACAAATGCAATTCTTTGAGTATAAGTTCTGCTGTACAGAACCAGGGACCGGCATTCCACACTGGAAACATGCTGTCATCTTCAAGATAATTGCTGAGCAAAAGAAGAAGGTGGAGAAAAAGCAGGTAAAGTGCCTAAGTTTTTCTTCCATATTAAGCTGTCTTTTCCTTGATTCAGCATTCATTTGGTTGCTTAAATTTTGGACTGTTCTTCGCAATTATAACAAACTTTATTCTGACAGTTTTGGGCTCATTTTTGGATTATTCTGTGAAGGGAAAAGACCTTAGAGCTATCTATTCTACCATTTTCACTGATATCATTTTTTCATGTCTCTAGTTTTAGTGTTTTATTTTAAATTTATATAACTATATATTTTATAGATATATTTAAGTTTAATTTTGGAATCTGTTTTTACATTGGTAAGCTTAGCACACACAAACACAGAGTAATTAAGTCACATATTAATACTTATTTTCTACAAATACACTTGCATTATTTATTTACCATTCATGAATGATTTATTTTTTATGAGTTAAATTACATAAATTAATTAGATTTTATTATAGTATTATCAATTCTTATGTAATAAATTATCACAAACTTAGCATTTACTGCAAGTCACATTATTGTTTCTTAGTTGCTGTGGGCCAGATGCTTTGGCATGGCTTTGCTGCATCTTCTGACAGTATCTGTCAAAACTGTAATCCAAGTAATGGCCAAATTGTATTTTCACCTGGAGGTTTGACTAAGAAAGAATCTTCTTCCAAAACCATTTAGTTCACTAGTGCAATTCATTTTCTTGCAGTAGTAAAACTGGGGGCCCTGGTTTCTTTCTGACTGTTGGATTAAACTGCTGTCACCTCCTGGAAGTTGTCTGCAGTTCCTTGCCACGTGGGCTTTGCTCAGAATACCTACTTTTTTTTTCATTCAGTGTATTAATCTGTTTCGACTGCCATAACAAAATATTGTAGACTGCATGGCTTAAACAACAGAATATATATATATATATATATATATATATATATATATACACACACACACACACACACACACATATATATGTGTATATATATATACATACACACACATATATGTATATATATACACATACGTATATACACATACATACATATATACACATATATAGTATATACATACACATACATATATACATATATATGTATATACATACACATATATATACATATATATGTGTGTATATATATACACATACATATATATACACACACACACATACATATATATATATATGCTTTGGAGGCTAGAAATCCCAGATCAATATCTGGCAGGGTGAGGGCTCACTTCCTGGCATGAAGATGGTTGCTTTCTCTCCGTGTCCTCACTTGGTCTTTCCTTGTAGAATGAATGTGCACAAGAGGTTGTTGCGCTGGGGAGAGAGAAAGTGCTCTTTGATGTCTCTTCTTATGAAAACTCCAGTCCTATCAGATTAGGGTCATGCCCTTTTACCTCATTTAATCTTAATTACTTCCTAGGGTCCTCACCTCTAAATACAGCCACACTGGGGCTTAGTAAAGCTTCAACATATAAATTTTGGAGGGACGTATATATTCAGTTCATAACATTACACCCCTGGCTCCCCAAAAACTATGTTTTTCTTACATGTAAAATACATTTATTTCATCCAAATAGTCCCAAAAGTCTCAACACATTTTAGTACTAACTCTCTGACCTTAAAGTCTAAAGTCTCATCTAAATTTTATCGATATCAGACATGCATGAGACTTGAACTATGATTTATCTTCAGATGACATTCCTCTTAATATGTAAACCTATGAAATGAGAGAAATTATGTGCTTCTAAAATACAGTGTTGGGACAGGCAAAGAATAGTAATTCCTGTTCTAAAAAGGAAAAATCAGAAGGAAAGAGGGGGTAATATTTTCCAACCAAGTCCAAAACCTAGCAAGGCAAATTCCATTAGATCTTAAGGCTAAAGATGTCTCATCTTTCATTTGCTGCACTGCCCTCAAGGACCACAGGGGTAGCAGAGTCTTCCCCACAGCTCTGCAAGGAAGCTCATCTCCAAATACAGCCACACTGGTGGTTAGGAATTCAACATACAAATTCTGGGGGAGCAAAAACATTCAGTCTAAAGCATCCAGCCTGTAAAGAGAATCTCTAGAGTGAGTTTTCTAACAAGACAAAGTCTTAAACAACATGACATAATCATGGGCATGACGTCCCATCATGTTCGTCTTACTTTATTTGTTAGAAGCAAGTCAGAGGGCCCAGACACACTCAAGGGTATATCTTTCATATAAATTTGAACACCAGAGAAAAGGATCATGATGACCATCTTAAAGTCTACCTACTAGAGTTTAAAAATCATGATTTTTATTTTTATTTTTTTCAAGTAGTTATCTCTAACTAAGATCCAAATTTAATGTATAATTCTTCTAACATTCCTTTTCATTTTAATCTTTTCTGTGCCTGGAGTTTATTTTGTCTTTTAAATTCTACTTTGTTTAGTTGACTGTTTTTCCTTCATTACTTAATTGGTACTGAAGAAGTTTATCCAACATTAGAGTCTTTTTACTAAATATTTACTTATTTTTATTTCTCATTTAAATATGTAGTCTTCTCTTTCAATAGTTTATTTTTGTTGTTGGTTTTGTTTTGTTTTGTTTTGGTATATCTACCAAGAATCTTTACAAAGATAGACTTTAGTAAACTTTTTAAAGCTTTATGCTGGAAAGCATATGCATTTGGTGTTCATGTTTTAATAATAAATTGGTAAGACATGCATTTGTAATTCAAAATTATTTTTTTTCAGAACTTAGAAAATAGTGCTTATTTTTTGGTCTTCTTGTCAGTTCTTTGACTATTTATCTTAATTTGACATTGTTTACCTTGTAAAAATCTATGAACTTCAATAACTTTTGTAAAGAACTTTTTCTTGCTGATCTTATTATTGTACTATGTGTGAATTTTATTTTAACTATTCTGTTTGAAATTTTGGGATTCCTTTCAACCACAAGTCTTTTATGTTTCTATTATTCTTTGCAATTCTCCATATTAATATTTGATTTTCTCTGTTCTTCTTATACACCTAGACTTTCTTAACAATAATACATCTTTATATCAAATAATTTTATTATGTCATCCCTTTGTCATGTGTTTTCTGAAAGAATTTCTTTAATAAATTTTGAGTCCAATCCATATTATTAAATAGCATTAGTTTTGTTATTCCCTCATCTATTGAATTATTTATTTACTTCACTATTTTTTTAAACTAATATTGTTAACCAAGTGCCAGAGATTCAGTCTAGGTCCTGCTGCTTGCCACACAGGAAGCCAGTCGCTGGGACAATAAGTTTTGCCAGGGAAGCAGGCTTTAATATGGTGATGCAGTTGAGGAGATGGGAGACCAGTCTCAAATCCACCTCCCTAACTGACTAAAATCAGGGGTTTATATAGCAGGAAGAACTGTAGCCACATGCAGGAAAACAGGAATTAGGGACAGGTAAGGAAAAGGTATTGGTGAACAGGAAGCCAGTGGTGGGTTAGACAATCATGACTGGTGAGGGGTCTGGTTTTTCATTATCCAGATGCAGTAATCTGGTGTGCTTTAGGTCTGTGATACTATTTGGGAAGACTAAAGGTTAGTTTCCTGAGAAAATAACTCAGATAAGACAATCATAACTTTCACAAGTCTAAAGACTGAGAGGGTCAATTTCCACATTTATTCCAAAGAAATCATGAACATCAATTCTATGGGAGAATTGGGCCAGTTTCAATATTTCCACAGTCTTCTTTATTACTAGTTCTTCCTGCTTCATGATGTAATCATGCCATATCATCCATTTGAGGTGTTATTGTTAATTTAATATTTTCATGTATTTATACTGTCATAGTGCCCTGGTTTATCTGCTACAGATGTTTATTTTTATATATTCTTCTTATTTATGATGCTATTATGTTTGTTTGTTTGTTTGTTTATTTTGAGACGGAGTTTCGCTCTTGTTGCCCAGGCTAGAGTGCAATGGCACGATTTCGGCTCACTGCAACTTCTGCCTCCCAGGTTCAAGCGATTCTCCTGCCTCAGCCTCCCTAGTAGCTGGGATTACAGGCATGTGCCACCATGCCCGGGTAATTTTGTACTTTTAGTAGAGACGGGGTTTCTCCATGTTGGTCAGGCTGGTCTCAAACTCCCGACCCCAGGTGATCCGCCCGCCCCGGCCTCCCAAATTGCTGGGATTACAGGCCTGAGCCACCACGCCAGGCCTATTATGTTTATTTTTGAATTTGTTTATTCCTGAAGGTACCAAATAGTTAGCTTGTAAAGTATTCAAGGTAGAAGAGGCAAGGCTTAATGCTTTGGTATTTGTAGAGTTTGGAGTAGGGAAAGCATTCTCCATGGCAGAGGCCAGAGTACCAAGGTTGAGTTTGGCTACCCAAATAATAAATTTTCTTTTTAGAAAATTCTGAACCTCGGGAAAACCATCTTTACCTGTTTCATTAAGTATTCTCCTTGTTTGTTCGTAGTGCAAAAAGGAATATTTTGTCCCTAGGTATTCTTCACAATAAGTTAATTCCTCAAATCCGTAAAAAGTTCACCATTACACTGAGAAAGATTTCATCAATATTATGTTTGATTATCTTTTATTGATGTTCCCGAAAGTTTTTTTTTTTAATTTTGACAGTGTTTACCATTCCTAAATACTTGATTTTTTTTTAGCCTTTGGTTTCATAAGGGTCATACTTTACTTTCCTTGTTTACTTTTAGTTTACTTTATGTTTTTGAGTTTTCTTTGTACATTTATCTTCCTTTCAACTATTATATTTGTTAATATGCTACCTAAAGCCATTAGGTATTTATTTTATCTATAAAATTGTTATGCTGCTGTAGTAGTACTAAGCTCCACTACAGAAAAACGCCTCTGTTTCCTACATTGATTTGGAATAACATGCCGGTTCTACATAAAACTACCATATGTCACAGGTTTGTTTTGAGACTCTTTTCTCTTCCATGCATTTATTTATCTATGTTTCCGCCCAAACAACAGAGTATTACTCATTTTGCTTTATAGTAAATCTCTATATCTGGTAGCATAATTTCTTTTTCCACAGTGTTCTTTATCATCAAGAATGTCTTGGGTTTTCTTCATGTTTTTACATACATTTTACTTTATTTATTTATAGGAAAAATGCTGAAATTTGTATTAACAATGCACTGAATGTATTAATAATTGTGCATACAATTATAGATTTATGTATTGGTTCTTCTAATTCATAACCATAGCACACATTCCCATTAATTTGTCTTCTTAAAATCTCTCAATAAATCCTCATAAAGGTTATTATAATTACCCATAGTTTGTTTTATTTTTATGTTACTACATAATTTGATAATCCAAATATACAAAGTGTGGATAGGACTATTCTCTCAACACCACATTGTCAAGTTGCTTTGCCTCCTTTTGCACCCCAGACAGAAACCAATATAATGCAAATTTCTTGCTTGAGATTCCCTGATTAACCCAGGTCTTGTGTATCAAGAGTAGGAATTTGTACTTTCATAATACAGAGTAATAGTTTACCAGAAGTTTCTCCCATTTTTAAATTTGTTATGGTTGTTCTGTTCTAATCAGCAGCATCTCAACTGGATTGTGGGTAGTGTAGGATGATCTATTTCTGCTTTGCTATTATCCAGAAGGTGTGTAGACATTAGAGGTATCTGCATAATATGGCTATAGACTCCCTATTTGGGGAAGTTTTCTGGTTTTGACTTTTTCCTCCTAACTCTGCAACTTTTTGAATCTTAACTCTTAGTGTATGGTAAGAAAAAGATGCCATCCAATTTTTAAAAAATGTGATGCCTTAATACTCTACTTACCTTTGTGAATGCAGGCTTTTATCCACAGCTTTGTGTGAATATTTCCAAATGTTTAAATCTCTTCAGTATTTTTAGGCTATTTTTCAAAAATTTCTCTGGAATTTTTTTTTACCTCAGTTTGATATAAGTAATTTAAGCTATCATCATTAGAGCTGGAAGTTCCTAAAATTTATTTTTCACATTGCCAGTAGAATGAACATTCTATACACAAACTGTATAATATATCCTTGTCTTAAAACCTTTACTAGCTCCTTATGACTGTCACTGCTTTTAAAATTTTGTATTGAAAATTAAAATATTATAATGTGATGCCTAAAAACTAGGCTATGTCTCACTCTAATCTTCATACAACTGATCCTGAAACACGTTTTGGAATGTATTATGTTATCCTTGCTTCTGGTCTTTAAGCATAACATTATTTCTGCATGGAGTCTTCTCCTGCTCCATCTTTTGTTTTTCCTATCTTGGATTTATCCTTCTGACCTCAGCTTAAAGATAATTTATAACTTTGGTGGGATAGGACATACCATAATAGCTATACATAACAGGCTCCAAGCCAATTATTTGAACTTTTCTAAGTCTTCAATAACCCAATTGTAATGCCAAATACCTAACATTTTGTTTTGTGGATCAAATTGAATAATGTGCTCTGTCCTATAGTAAACATTCAATGAATTCTAATTACCATTATTTTTTGCCGTTTTTATTTGCACACACCCCCAACCTCCAACTGCAACCTTATGAGACTGAGTAGTTGCAAAAGTCTATGTTTTTGTATTTCCTTCTCTAGTTGCATATAAGACACTGAGGTTTTTGTTTAGCCATTGGATTCTTTTATTAGAGTTTAAGACCTTTAAGGTAGAAACCCTGCCTTTCCCACACATATATTCATTATGCCTCATATAGAAGTACAACTACTACATATTGGAGGTGGGGGCAGGGAGAACATCAGGAAGAATAGCTCATGGATGCTGGGATTAATACCTAGGAAATGGGATGATTTGTGCAGCAAACCACCACGGGACACATTTACCTATATAACTAAACCTGTGCATATAGCCCTGAACTTAAAATAAATGTTGAAGAAAACAAAAAGCAAAATATTAAATCCTACACTTTTATATTTAGGAGAAAAGAAGAGAAATACAGAATAATTTTCTAATATTGTAGAGGCAGTAAAAGAGAGATTCCAAACTCTTCTCATCCCAACTCTAGGCAAGATGCCTAGAGTCAACATATAATATGTATGTAGAAATAAAAAATACACATATTGGTGGGGCACAGTGGGCAGATCACCTGAGGTCAGGCGTTCGAGACCAACCTGGCCAATATGGTGAAACCCCGTCTCTATTAAAAATACAAAAATTAGCCGGGTGTGGTGGCACAAGCTTGTAATCCCAGCTACTAGGGAGGTTGAGGCAGGAGAATCGCTTGAAACTGGGAGGCAGAGGTTGCAGTGAGCCAAGGTCACGCCACTGCACTCCAGCCTGGATAACAAGAGTGAAACTCAGTCTCAAAAAAAAAAAAATGTGTGTGTATATATATATACACACACACACACATTATATATGTATTACATTATACTATAAAAGAAGTAAATTAAGAACAGAAGTATTTTAGATTGAAAGATTATGACATTTTATTGGGAAAAGGTCAAGGTAATTTTGATGGATGAAGTAGGATTGTAGATTGGCCTAGCATGACATTGGTATAGCTGCCAGGGCACTGCCTGAAAGTTGTGCTTCACTGGAGTTCTGCGATGCTTGAAAAACAGACAATAAGCAACTTGACCTAGGATAATGTGTTATTTTCATGAAACCTAAATGATATCAAAGTCTGTGCATATTGATGGCTAAAACCTGTACATTTTTTTTCTTTCTTTTCCAAACTAGTGTTGGTCACAATCAATATTTTCTCAAAGAAATTAATTAAATTTTATTAATTTTACTTTCTGTATAAAAGTAACACAATAAGTGTATATCATATATTAAGTATTAAGTATATACTTAATACTTTTGTATAATATATTGCATTATATATACAATAAGTGTAGATATATAAAATATAGGATGAGAAATACACTAAAAAGAAAAATATTTTGAAAAAATTTACAATTACTTGTTTAGCCCCTCAATTTGTATCTTCTGAGTTTTTGGCCTATTGTAACCTCATTAATAACTGCAGCATAATTGAGTTTTAATGGATTTATTGAAGCTTGAGTGTCCTCAAATATTTAACATTAATAATTTGGTACCATATACACTAAATCACACAAATCCTACATTGTAAACTAGAGACATTTTAAGACAAAGATGTACAGTATCATTATTTAACACACAAATTAATAGAGGTTATATAATTTATGACAAAATCAGCTTCAGATTTCTCAGGAGAAGAGAACTCAGAAAAAAGACAACTGTTCTGAAATTTCCTGAAATTCCCATCTGGAAATAGAAAAGATTTGGCTTTCAGAAAACCATCTCAAGTGATATTATTTCAGGGAGAGGTGTAAAGTCAGAAAAATTCAGTGTGAGGTTTTCAAGTAGAACACTTTAGTTAGTATTGAAAACATTTATATTAGAATATTAATATATGAAGTTGAAATGGTAGTTTGAAAACTGACAGTGAAAAACCTATAAAGCACATTATTATTTTTCTTTGAGACAATGAATTTTGAAAACTGAAGGGTTTTGGCCAGTACTATGACATGATGAAAGGGAAATTTTGGAAGATTATATAGCAACAGTTAAAATGATTGATTTTGGTAGAGAATAAACTGGAAGCATAGGGATTGATAATGGGATCATTGCATTTTCCTTATGCTGCTAATACTACTGCTACTTGCTTAGAAGCTGCTTAGTATCAACCTCAAAATGGAAATTTACTTGTCATAGCATATGCCAGCAGAATATTGAATAAAAGAGAACATGTATATCCCAGCCCTAATTTAGGGTGTCTGTCTTTGAAATAAACAGCTTGAACATTTCTTGAGTTTTTATATGAAATAAATTCAGAGTAATGATAGATTTTTCTAAGAAATTTCTGACTACTGCAAAATTGAATGTAGCAGAACAGACAAGAGTGTCAATGTAATACCTATTCCATTTCAAACACTACACGGGGTAGATGAAGGAAGTATAGATACTGATACACTTTGAAGAAAAGAATAGTGTTTCTAGGGAAGGTGGAAGAGAAATATTAGCATGAGATGACTAATAATACTACAGTGAGAATTAAAATAAATATAGCATTTACTATTGTTTGCCTATACATGTTTAGATATAATTGATAGAAAAAAATGAGATTTATAAAATTTTAAAACATTTGATACAAATTGTTTAGATAAAGATATTTGACTATTTTATTTCAGGTTTTCACTACATTACAGGTCAAAAATATGTGAAAAGCTATGTCAAAACTCAAAGCTTAAAAAAGTTTTTGAATTGACCACTTCACCACTTTCATAGAACCAAAAACCCACATATGCAAGCAACCACCCTCTGAACCTAATTCAAACGATTAAGTTATATTTTGGTAATTTGCAAATGAGATATACAAGCTGGTTTAATAAAGTCAGACACAGAAACAAGTCAAATTGCAGAATTTTTTACCAAGGGAAGCTTGTCTACCAAGAGGAATTTAGGAAAGAAAGGTAGAATGAAACAGATGATAGATTTGGGAGGAGAGAGCAACAGGGATAGTAGAGACAAGAGCATAGAAGCAAATGTGACCATGAGATTCTTAAAAGATGAGCTGCTTGGTGATATACTTCTTCCAATGAAGATAAAGTACATTTATTGTGATCTTATTCTACGGCATTCTCCAAATGCATTGTGATTATAAGCACGCACACACTTCTGCCAACTAGTTTTTGGCTGTTATAAGAAAATTACTTAAATCTGTGGCTCTCAGCACAACTGTAAAATGAGCAGAGAAATATGCTTTTGTGAGAAATAATATAGCTTTTGTTAAATCAGCTAAAAATAATTTAACTGTATTAATGTCATTTATTATCATTTATTATGTATACATACATTGTATGTATTTATATACACATATACACACATGAATAAAAATTACTTGCCTTTTGAGCTAATGAGTTTCTCTTTTAAAAATGAGTTTCTGTTTTAAAAGCAATCCTGCCTAAAATATCTAGTAATGCTTTGAAGGAGATTTACTAGAAATAGATTCTTATTGACTATATTGTCATTTCATGGTAGCTGGAAGTTAGGATTCTTCCACTGCAGCATGAGAAGATGGTAGATTGTATAGCATTATAAAATACCACAGCTGGTGTGATTATTGCTTATAGTACCTTGAATATTAATTCACATGCCCACTGACTTTGGAAAACTTCCACTGACTTTAGAAAATGTACAGTCAAATGTGTATATATCAGAAGGCAGTTAGTAGTTTTAAAGAACGTAAAACAAAAGAGCAAATGTTCATACTATCTTTCATGGAAAGAGACATGGGCAAGTATAGTGAATCTATCCCTCAGATGTGAATATCCTGTCTTTAAGTATTAGTCTCCTAAGATTTCTGCAATCTAGGGAGAGACTAAAACATTCATGTTGCCAAAATCAGCTACTAAATTTTCAGCATTGCCTGTGGTTTTAATGCCCTGGTTGTCAAATATCAGAAGGCTAACATCTCTAATAGTGTTCATAGAATTAGGGAATCTAATTACAAATAAATATGAATTCTGGAAAAAAGTTTGTTATCAGATACTTGCAAAGGGAGATTGAGAATAAAGGCTATGCTACTTATTCACTACTTATATCAAGTTTTGGTATTCCCTTTACAGTCTGTGAACTGGTTTAGAGAAGACAAAGTAAGAGAGTCTGTGGTAACTAGATAACTAAGTAACAGATGCCTCACAGAGAGTCCTTCAAGATCTGCAGCATAAAATTCAGACAATCTAGAAAATGCAGTGATGAAAGAGTTAGTGAAACTTGTATGAAATCTATTTGTTGAGAGCTAAAACAACATTGAAAATTTCAGCCCTCTGAAGTTGTTCCAGAATTTTTATCACTAAAAATAAACAAAACCCAAAAAGGTTTGGTGAGTAGTAAGCAGTCCATGCTTGACTCAATTCAAAAGGTCAGGTATCTCACTTCTTCAGTAAGCTCCATACTTCAATTCAAAAACTGCTGGCACCTGCTTAATATCACAAGCCCAGTCTGTTTTGAAATAGGAGGATTTCATAAAAAAAAAATTGAAAATATTTTCCAGGCCCCAGAAAAAGTAATCATATTTAGATAAATAGGAGAGAAAATGTGTTATAGACTAAGACTGACAGAGATAATTTATACAGATGAAATCTGACAGTAATTAGCTTTCCTGGTTTTTCCTATTTTAGAATTAACACTTTTGTTAAAATAGCTACTTTTATATTAATATTGTTAACTATATATCCAAACACTCATTGGGTTTCTTTATCACTAGGAATTATAAAGATGATTAATTATGTTCATATAATAATAACTGTATAAAGTATATATTGACTTTTTCTAAACAATACATTATATTGGGTATGCAATGTGTTGTTAAAGTATCCACTTCTACATCTCCAAGGAAGTTATCTTATTCTCATCCAGTGTGGCTAGAACTTGGTGTTTTTACTAACCATATCCTCCTGTATCTCTGTTTTTTTAAGATTTATTTTTTCCATGTGCTAGTTTGTAATACAATTACTTCTTTAACCTTTAGGTCACATATGATTATTTCTGCATCTTTATTTGATTTCATTTACCTCAAGGGCAGTTTATTTGTATAAAGATGTTACTTGATTACTTGAAACAGCCTTCAAATTTCAAATGTTTTGCTTTTTTATACTGAGCCTACTGTATCTCTATTCTCTCTGGAAACCTCTGTTCTTCTAGTCCACTGACAGAACAGTCTGTCTGTTGAGATGAGAGCAGAGAATGTTCATCATTCTTCTAGACAAATGAAAATTGTATCCATTCTATTAGCAATGACTCTGTAAAACTTTAACTTGTCAACAATTGGTGAATATAATTAATTTTAATGGATTTGTTGCAGAATAGATTCTCGGTTTATATAAATCATTCATGGCACAACACATTTTTCAGCAAATTGAATACTGCTTGTGTTTGACTGTTTTAAAAAGGGAAGGAAAAAAGGAGAGGGAGGGAAGAAAGTTAATGAAAGGGAAGAAAAAATGAAGAGAAAATGGGAAGGGAAAGGAATGGAAGGGAAGGGAGGGGAAGGGAAAGGGAGGAAACTGGAGGGAAGGGGAGGGAAGGGGAGGGAAGAGGAGGGAAGGGGAGGGAAGAGGAGGGAAGGGGAAGGGAAGGGAGAAGGGGAGGGAAGGGAAGGGGAGGGGGAAAGAGGAAAGAAAAGGAAGAGAATAAAATAAGGAAAAGAGATTGTGGGCAGTATTTAGGCCCTCCTTGGGTCACTGCTGACCTGCCATTGCTTTTTGACTCGTGGAAGACAACCTGAGCACTGGAACTTAGATGGATAATGTATTTGCCAGCAGTCTTGGGCAGAAGATGTTCTCTCTGTGAGTAATTGCTGACCTATAGTTGTCTCTTGACCTGGGGAAGACCTATCAAAAGCACATGGGCTGTGTGGGGAAGCTAACTAGCCGACTAGGGATTCAAACTTGAAAAACACGTGGGCAGTGTTTCCCGCAGCATGATGCTGCTGCCTACTTGAAGGCACCATGATGTGTAGTGCCTTTTTTGGCCAGAATGCAGAACAACCACTAAAATCCACCTGTTTCTTTTTTTATTTTTGTTTGTTTGTTTGTTTGAGACGGAGTTTCACTCTTGTTGCCCAGGCTGGAGTGCAATGGCACAATCTCGGCTCACCGCAACCTCCGCCTCCCAGGTTCAAGCAATTCTCCTGCCTCGGCCTCCCGAGTAGCTGAGATTACAGGCATGCACCACCACGCCTGGCTAATTTTCACATTATTAGTAGAGACGGGGTTTCTCTATGTTGGTCAGGCTGGTCTCAAACTCCTGACCTCAGGTGATCCGCCTGCCTCAGCCTCCCAAAGTGCTGGGATTACAGGCGTGAGCCACTGCGCCTGGCCCAAAAATCCACCTGTTTCTAATTGATCCCAGGTGTCCTAGCCCTGCTGGTGGTTTCAGTGTTTACTGTGGAACAAGACAAGAGTGAAGCTCTTGTGAGGGGGTCCCAAAATTGTGGCAAAACTGAAAGTCTGCCTCCAACTCACTTTTTTTCACTATAGAAACAGTGGGTTCAGGGGAATTATCTGTGCAAGCTTGGGGCAAGGGAGGCACCGTAAACAAAACAAAACAAAACCAAAAACTATTTTTCTTACCTTTCAATGGTGGCTTTCCTCTACTCTATAATCCAAGGGAAAGCTTAAGAAAATAAGAAGCATGGTTTTAATTCATCATATTAACAAAGACTCTGTGACTATTAGGTGGTTTATGTATTAAGATATATAAGAACACGGGCTATTACAATAACAGCCTTACAACTCCAGTGTAAAATGCATTGAATAATTCATTTAAACTTGTGAATTTTTTAGACTAAGTCATAAATTTCTATGAATGGCCATTTTAATCTGTTGAATTTAACAGTTATTTGGTACTTAGAATTATTTTGTCTATTAAATCAGATTATTGAACTATTTTATAAAACAGAGTACTTATCTATTCAATGTATTTAAAACATTTAAAATGGCTTAACGATATTTTAGTCTGTGAGACAAAAAATTATTCTGATAATCCTAGAAATGATTGGCAAGATTATTTTAGGGCAAACAATGAGATTATTTTGCAAGATCAACTTAAAATTTAATAAACATCAAGGGTTCCAAATAACAATTTTGAACTTATAACTTTATATGTTAAATAACAATTGTGAAAACAAAATAAAAGATTAAAAGCATTTCTGTATAAAAACAGGCATGAAGGTCACAAAAATACAAAAGAACAAGCAAACGAACTAACAATAGCTCTTAGAAAAACTTTAGTCTTTAGTGTTTCTATAACCCTGAATCCTCATATTTCTCATGGAGGCCAATAAGTAGTTTCCTATTTTTTTTCTGAAGCCTCACCATTCCTCATTTAATTTTTCTTTTCATCTTTCACATGATCTTATACCTCTAGATTTTTGATTCTCTGTTTTTTCCCACTACTTGAAAACAGTTGGAAATGTTTAACCTTCTTAGCTTCACTGCTCTTCTCCTTAACCACATATAATGCTATCACTGTTCCCAGATTATAAGAATTTTCTTTTTGCTTTTTTTCTCTTAGCCTCAAAGCAGGTCTTTCTATTGTGCTTTTCTTGTTGTCTTTTCACTTTGTGGCCTTATGCAAAGTGAAAGCCATGAACTCATTGAATGTATTGTTTATTTTAAAAAAAAATTATGTTCTCAAAAAATTTCTGCTCACTTAATTTCTCCCTCATTAGGAATAGTATCCATAAGATGTCTTTTCTATTCTTCATTGTTGAACAAATGTAAATCCAATGCCGGGCGCAGTGGCTCACGCCTGCAATCCCAGCACTTTGGGAAGCCGGGGCAGGCGGATAACCTGACGTCAGGAGTTCGAGACCAACCTGGCCAACATGGTGAAACCCCGTCTCTACTAAAAATATAAAAATTAGCCGGGCATGGTGGTGCACACTTGTAATCCCAGTTACTTGGGAGGCTGAGACAGGAGAATCGCTTGAGCCTAGGAGGCAGGGGTTTCAGTAAGCCAAGATTGCTCTACTGCACATTCCAGTCTGAGCGATAGAGAAAGACACTGTCTTAAAAAAAAAAAAAAAAAAAAAAAAGTAAATCTAGTTAATTGTTTTTCTTCTTGGCATCTTTTTGTGGGATTTATTATTTCTGTTACTTTCCATGAGGTTTTGAGTGTGTAAACTTTAACAGGTTTGCTCTTAAATTTGGTTTAGTACATTTTCTTATTTTCTTTCCTTATCTCCAATACATGTTTTAACATCTAACCAATACTGCTTTAAGTATTCTACATTACTCTGGAAAATATTTCTTAATAACATTCCTAGATCTTACAGGCCAACATATCTAGTCCACACTATTGGCTACTTTAAAATAATTTTCTGGTTCTGGGTTCCATTTTCTAGATGAATTATATCTGTTCTGAGATCTTACATTTTATTTTTTCTTGGCAGTTTCTGAACACCGTATGTTCTTTATAAGTTTCCTAATCTCCTAATGGCTAAAATAAATACCTCTTTCAGGACCCTCTCAGAATATCTATTTTGCTGATTGTTATTTCTAAAATTTGGCCTTTGCAATATTGTATCTTCTCCTAAAATAATTTCTAACTTTAGCTCAATTATTTCATTCTTCTTTATTTTTCTTTCATCTTCTTACTGCGCTTGGTCTGTTGGCACACTAAAGTTGATTTCCTTTTGTTATTGTTTTAATTCATCCCATTTTATATCTTCTAATTTTCCTAAAAGCAGAATGTTCCAGTAGTAGCCTTTGGAATAGTAATGATTCAATTGACTATTTCCTTTATGTCAACCAAGAATATTAACTATTACCTGTATCTAAAGGGCACTTATCTCACATTATCAATCAATAAAAATTCTCCAAATACTTGTATAGAATCCAGTGTTTACATTTCTAAAATCTATAACTGTTATAAAAGCTTAAAACAAATAACAATCTGACATGCGATCATTATAATGGGAAGGGGACATGGAAAACTCCTGTTGTGTCCAACGTCCTTATCATTTAACTCTAATAATGCCTAAAATACAGTGTAACTATTACAGTTTATCAAAATATTAACTAAAACTTACTTTAGCTTGCTTAGCCTGTTTATATAATCTTCAAATTTTAATTTACCTTAGTCCTATTGTCTGATCATCATTTGCCATAAGAATTTATATGGAAGTAAGAACCAATTTCAGTCAAAATTCTCCAAGGTGTTTCTCCTGACCACAATTCATCCTTCCCATTATTTCTGGTCTGCCATTTTGCTAAAACCAGGCACACTCCCATTCTTTAGGGGATTTGTAGCCTGCTGAGCCAAAATAGATTTTTTATTCTGAATATTGAATATCTAACTTATAAGGTCTCTATTAGTTTTAATCGTTAAACAATTCCATGATTTTCATAATCTGCTATTTTTTATCTGAAAGTCAGCCTATTTTAGTAACTCTTATTCATGCACACTCCATTATTCTGGGGTTGGAGGCAAGAAAAAAGAACTAATACTTATGCCTTCTCCCATAATATTCTAACATTTCAAAAGAATTAAGGAAAACAGTCACTGCCCCAAACCGTGATTAAAGAGGTAATATTTTAACTTCCATTTCAGTGCCACCATTTAAAGACGTTGAAAAGGGTCATGCCCATTCTAATAACAAGAAAAATCTAGACAAAGTGAAACCAATGACTTTTCTTAAACCTATCAAAGAAATTATTTGCAGAGAAAATAGCCACACCAAAATCTGGAGACGCAGATGACTCCAGAGCCCCAGTTAGAATCTACTAAATTGGAACAGAAACCATTGTACCCATAAACTGGTTGGGTCACTTAACTGTAATTTTGATGAATTGTTGGAAGCTAAATATGGGCTGAAGTGAGAGTAAAAATCTCCTCGGTCAGCTGTCTTAGTGGAAGCCTCACACTTTGAAGGTTTTAACTTCCAGAATTCCACTAAGTTCTCAGGTTGAAGATCTGATAATGATCCTTATCTGGCTCTGGCTAGGAGAGAGAAAGTGTAATCCATATGAAATTCATATAGAACCTTCTTGATAACAAGTATCTACTCTTCAGGGCAAACACGGTACTAGAACTTTGTACCAAAGATGAGAGAAAAGGAATTCCTCTAACTCCAGGTGCTTTAGTCTCCCTGGTTGAACTAAAGAAGGGAGGCTATACAAGAAGAAACATTTGTGAAGTTCACAGCCCAGAATCACAGGATCACTAAAAATCTGATGATTATTTGGAAAATTATATAATGGTTCCGGTTAAAAACACCCTACCACCATACCACCTAGTCCTTATAATAATCACAATTGGCATTAATCAACTACACCTGGCATTCCTTCACATCTGTACTCACTTTTTTTTAAAGCTATACTATTCATATATTCTGGATCCATCATCCATAACCTCAATGATGAACAAGACATCTGAAAAATAGAAGGATGATTCAAGGCTCTGCCCTTCACTTCTTCCTCCCTTATTATCGGCAGCCTCTCACTTACAGGAATACCTTTATTCACAGGCTTCCACTCCAAAGACCTCATCTTCATAACCACAAACACGTTGTGTACCAATGCCTGAGCCCTTTTAATCACTCTTATTGCCACCTCCTTGACAGCTGTCTGTAGCACCGTATCATTTTCCTCGCACTGATAGGACAACCTCTCTTCACAACTCTATTATTAATGAAAACAATCCCTTCCTAATTAACTCAATCGAGTGCCTATCAATCGGTAGTGTCTTCGTCAGATTTTTCATCACTAAAAATATTATTCCTATATCATCACCCCAAACAGCTATGCCACTCCACCTAAAACTTACAGCCCTTGGTGTAACCATCTTAGGCTTTTCATATTAAAGTAACCCTAAAATAAAATATATTAGCAATTTAAATGAAGCCAAAATAATTATTTACAGATATCTCTGTGAAGAATCCTTGTGTTTCTTAAATTTACATCAGCCTACATTTTTCTAAGACAAATAGTATCTTCAAAGTTCAGGCCTCACAAAAGGTGACCCAAATTGCATGAGTTATAATCTTCTCAATAGTGTTATAACCTACTGGGATCGCTATACTGTAGTCTATGTGATATCTAAATAAAGGAAAAATAAAAAATTAAGAAGTTTTCATGGTCCAGCACAGTTGTTTATACCTTAAATCCTAGCACTTTGGGAGGGTGAGGTGGAAGGATCGCTGGAGGCCAGGATTTTGAGACAAGGCTGGGCAACATAGTGAGACCTTGTCTCATGAAAAAAAAAAAAAAAAAGCCATGTGTGGTGGCATGCACCTGTAGTCCTATCTACTCAGGAGGCTGAGGCAGGAGGAATGCTTGAGCCCAGGAGGTTGAGGCTGCAGTGAGTTGTGATAGCATCACCGCCTGGGTCATAGAGTGAGACCCTGTCTCTAAAAAAATGATTAAAAAATCAAAAATGAAAAAAAGAATTTTTTAGTATATTTTTATCCTTATTAAGTATACTTAATTTTTTGAACTTTAAAGAAATGTCTGCAGAGTTATTTAGAACTACTCATAAAAGTGCTATGAAAATAACCACAAATAATAGCCAATATCCTACTTTAAATTCCTCATACAACCTATCTTCAATTTGTTCCTTCTATGCAGACAAACTCTACAAGTTGAACATCGTCTCTTTGTGTTAATGAATAAATCACAATTTCTGGACCCATATATCTGAATACCAGCTTAGTCCTTGTTAAAGTTATTAATAGCCTGCAAAATCATAAATGAAGTCTGAAGATAGTATTATAATTGAATATCTTCCACAGAAATTAGAAAAACAAAAGACTGTGGCCAATAAAAATTTAAATTTTAAAACAGATATGTAAGGTTTTCAAACCAAATGATGACCACTTGTTAGAATGTAAGCTGAAGGAGGGCAGATATTTTTTTCTGTTTTGCTTTGTTTTTTATTTTAACTGTCAGGACCACAGCACTTAGAACACAGCCTCATATGTAGAAGGTGCTCAGTAAATAGTTGTTATGGAAATTCATTAATGAGTCCTAAGCCTGTTAGTCTATTTCGTACTTACTATATTCTTGTTGCATTGGGTTACTTAATAGTTTTAAAGTGTAATTTTATCTTATTGTGATGATTCAGAGTCTCCATCTAGGAAAACAGACAATAAGCAATCACTGTTATACATTTGCATTTATTATTTATGAATTGACAAGAAAACTACATTTGAAAATGCTGAAATGAGATTATTCACAAGTAATTTTTCATGTCTTGATTCCAATTTAATTTATTTGGCTATATTTTGTTTCTAAGCTGTTAAAAATGTAAATCTGGATTGATTATTCATTATTGAAACCATATTAAGGGAACAAATGCATGTCAATGCTTCAAAAAGTTCAAGGATGACTATCAAAGATGGAACAAAATATGAAACTATATTCTTTGAATAATGTCTCATGATTTCTGTACTCAGAGTATCTGAGAAGGAACATGAAAGGGTGAATAAAAATAATGTTTTTTTTTTGTTTGCTGTTAATATTATAATTTCTTGTCATTATTAGCTTTATTGTATGATAGTACTCCCTGAGGATGCTTTCAATAAACTTTAAAGGCTATTTAGGTGCTCTATGTTTGCATTTCTATAGCATTCTATACATAAAGCTATCATTGTCCTTCAGTATAATGAACATATTATATTGAAGAACATTTACTTAGTTGTCTATTTTTTCGAAACCTAGAAACTAACATGAGGATTGAAATTACAGTTATCTTTAGTGCATGGTAAAAATAGTCATTCAATGTTGATTGAGTCAAAGTGATGGAAAAAAATAGAAAGCATTAAGATTTTCTGTCTTTAAACATATGCCAGAATCTTATGTATTCTGAGGAGTAAAATTTACAACTGGTTCTTGAAGAATTTAAAGTGCTCCTTGTCAAAAAGAAAAACAGATAATTCTAGAAACAGCATTAGAGGTAATGATCAAAGTTGATTGCTCTTATAGAGTGGCTTCAAAAGTATAATTTGCCATTATAGAGGTATAAGAAATGGTATCTTCTAAACAATATACTTCTGACTGTAATTTGAACTGGAAAATATCTATCATTATGCCAAATACTTAAAAAGGAGAAGTTGCTGTTTGGCATTTGTCAGTAACAGGAGAATACATATTTCACTAAGAATATGTCAAGGTTGAATGGAAGTGTATAATATTATCTTGGTAGAAAGTACATCAGATATAACAACTTCAGGTCCTTATCTCTGCAGTATTACATTTATATTTTTGTTTTATGTATACTATTATTATTTTTCATATACTGAATGCCTATATAGGGAGAAAGAATGTCTAAGTCTCAATATCTAATGTGCAATGTGTCATACAAAGCATACTATATTAAAGAGGAAATTAGTGTTTAGTTCAATGAAAAATTATACGCATTAAGTGTAACGTATTTGACTCATTTGGTTTTTAGAAATTGAAAATGTCAAGTAATCTCCACTAATGGGGTATAGAAGTAAGATCATAAAAATGTTGTATAAACTCAGTGACAGCTGTTACTACAGAGACTACAGCACAGTTGGGACAGAAAGATCTTTGGTGACTCAGTGTAGTAGTCTGCTTTTGCATTGCTCTAAAGAAATACCTGAGACTGGGTACGTTACAAAGGAAAGAGGTTTAATTGGCTAATCGTTCTGCAGGCTATACAGAAAGCATGGTACTGTCATTTTCTTAGCTTCTGGTGAGGCCTCAGGAAGCTTACAATGATGGTGGAACACAAAGGGGGAGCAGGCATTTGACATAGTGAGAGCAAGAATGGGGGCAAGAAGGTGCCACACACTTTTAAACAGCCACAACTCGTAAGAACTCACTCGCTATCTTGAGGACTGCACCAAGCCATGAGGGATCCATGCCCTTGACTCAATCACCTCCCATGAGGCCTCACCTCCAACATTGGGGATTATATTTCCACATGAAATTTGAGGGCACAAATATCCAAACAACATCACTTCACCCCTGGCCCCCCAAATCTCATGTACTTCTCATATGTCAAAACACAATGATCCCTTCTCACTAGTTTCTTAAAGCCTAACTCATTCTAGCATTAACTCAAAAGTCCCAAGTTCAAGTCCAAAGTCTCATCTGAATATAAGTTCCTTCTACCTATGAGCTTATAAAATAAAACAAGTTATTTACTCCTAAGATACAATGGGGAGCATAGGAATTGGGTTAATATTTTCATTCCAAAAGGGAGAAACTGACCAAAAGAATGGGGGTACAAGCTCCATGAATCTTCAAATCCCAGCAGGGCAGTCATCAAGTTTTAACCCTCCAAAATAATCTTCTTTGACTCTCTGTGTCACATTCAGGGTACACTGAGTCAATGGTGGGCTTCCAAGGACTTGGGCAGCTCACCTATGTGGCTCTGCAGCTTACAGCCCCTGGTGCTGCTTTCATGGGCTGGCGTTGAGTGCCTGTGGCTTTTCCAGGTGCAGGGTGCCAAGATGTTAGTGGATCTACCATTCTGGAGTCTGGAGGACGGTGGCCCCCTTCCCACAGCTCCACTAGGCAGTGCCCCAGTGGGAACTCTGTTTGGGGCTTATAGCTCCTCATTTCTTCTCTGCACTGCCTTAGTAGAGGTTCTCTGGGAGGCCTCCACCCCTGTGACAGGCTTCTGCCTTGGCACAAAGGCTTTCTTGTATGTCCTCTGAAATCTAGGCAGAGGTTGCCAAGTCTCCTTCAGTGTCACATTATTTGCATCTACAGGCTTAACACCACATGAAAGCCACCACAGCTTATGGCTTGCACCCTCTGAAGCAGTGGTCCAAGCTATATCTGGGGCCCTTTGACCTAAGGCTGGAGCCAGAGCAGCTGGGATGTGAGGAGCAGTGTCCCTAGACTGTACAGACTAGACCTCAGGGCCTGTGATGGGAAGGCTTGCCTTTTTCCATTGTCATGACTATCAGCATCTGGCTCCTTCTTAGTTACACAAAACTCTTTAGCAAGTGATTGCTCCATACTCTGCTCTAGTTTATCTCCTGAAAAAGTTATTTCTTTTTTCTGCCAAATGACCAGGCTGCAAATTTTCCATGTTTACACTCTCCTTTCCTTTTACAAATAAATTCCAACTTTAAGTCATTTCTTTGCTCCTGCATCTGAGTTTGGTTGCTAGAAGAGGCCAGGTCACTTCTTTAATGCTTTGATGCTTAGAAATTGCTTCCCCCAGATACCCTAAATCATCACTTTGAAGTTAAAAAGTCCATACATCCCTAGGGCATGAAGAGAATATAGCCAAATTCTTTGCTAAGGCAAAATCCACTTGACTTTTGCTCCATTTCCCAGTAAGTTCCTCATTTCCATCTGAGACTTCATCATCCTGGAATTTGGTGTCCATATCACTATGATCATTTTGGTCACAACTATTTAACCAGTTTTTAAGAAGTTTCAAATTTTCCTTCATCTTCCTGTCTTCCTCTGAGCCCTCCAAACTCTTCCAATTTCTGCTTGTTACCCAATTCCAAAGTTGCTTCCATATCTTCAGATATTTTTATAGCAATGCCCCGTTTCTTGGTACCAATTTTCTGTATTAGGCCATTCTTGAATCACTATTAAGAAATACCTGAGGCTGGGTAATTTATAAAGAAAACAGGTTTAATTGGCTCCTGATTCTGCAGTCTGTATAGGAAGCATGATGCTGGTATCAGTTCAGCTTCTGGGGAAGCCTGAGGAAGCTTGCAATCATGGAAGAAGGTGGAAGGAGAACAGGCTTCTCACATGGCAGAAGTGGCAGAAAGAGTTGGAGGGAGGTGCCACAGACTTTTAAACAACCAGATCGCGTAAGAACTCTATCACAAAAACAGCAGCGAGACATGAGGAATCCTCCTTCATGACCCAATCACTTCCCACCAGGCCCAGGCCCCGCCTCCAATATTGCAGGTTATATTTCAGCATGATATTTGGGGAACAAATATCCAATGTATTTCACTCAGTTATCTCTTTGCTCCATCAACAGCAAGAATTCTTAATCTTTATTATAGTGACTCAGCTTAATTCCTTGTTACTGTTGTTATTGTTACTAGTAGTATATCAAGATATCCTATTAAGTATACCATACTTATAGCTATAAATGTTGTTACTCATTTTATATACAACACATTTACTAGTAAATATAGAATGTGTAATATATGCATACATAGAATATATATAATACACACATATGCACATATACATATATATGATATAAAGCAATTATGCTTCATGCTAGTCTCCTGCAAGCTGTTTCATATTTTTTTCTTTTCAAACAAGTTAGGTTTAAAAACATTTTATTTCCCTGAAAACTTGTTTTCATAGAATTATACAGAGCTATGTTCTTTCATGCAGAAACAAAAAGCCACATGTGACTATTTGAACTAATAGTTAAATTAAAACTAAGTATAATTAAAATGTATGTTCTTAAGTCATACTAGCCACATTTCAAGTGCTCAGTCGTCACATGTGAATGTGACTACTCATATTAGACATTACATATAATAAATATTTTCATCTTAGAAATTTCTATTGGCCAGCATGTCTATGTAGATTAAGAGCAACACAATAGACTTTTTGAATCATATTATCATAATTTCTGAGTGACTTAGAGATGCTTTTAAACTTTTCTAGGCTTCAACTTCTCTGTGTGTAAAATAAAGATGATAGCAATATCGGTATCATAGGACTTACAGCAGAATAATTTACTACATGTAGAATCCTTTGCAGAGTGATGAGTACATTGAGAAGCTGAATATGCAAATGGATAATGTTCAGATCATATATAAAAATAAAACACTGACTCACAACCATAGCAATTAATCCAGTAAGCCAAGCCATTATCTACATCTACCTAGTACCCAGTCAGGAAGTCAAACTACTATCATTAGGAACCATTTCAGAAAACCAAACAATAATCCCTGTAATAGTCAAAAATGAGTAAAACCTAATTAATAACTAAAAGATTTCTTATTTTTTGCCCCAATGTCCAACTTAGCTTCAAATATAAAATGCTAAATATGCACCCCTAACCAATTACATAGGATGCCCTGCTTCTAGGTAGCTTGCCTACAGCCTTTCCATGCCAACAGTTCCAACCAAGGCACACTAGATTTTTCCCTTTTGTTCATCATAAAACTTTCTCACTCCTCTGCCTTCCTTCGAGTCTTTTCCAAAACACAATTGGTGGTTGCCAACTCTCTTGCTATAGCGAACTCTGAATAAATGCCTTTACTTGTTCTTACTTGAGTGATCATATATTTCCACAGTTATAGTGAAGGTTCTATTAAGATACGCTCTGCACTGTCTGATGCTGTGGCCGCAAATCTTCAACCAGGTGCATAACCCAGAGAGGATGCTTGCAACTTGCTGCTTACAGGTTGAATTTTCAATAATGTAGTGTCAGCACTGGGTCTGAACTCAACTCTGTGATAGATTTCATTGCTATTTATTCAACGTTTGGTACTTAGGTTTTGTCATAAGTTCTATTTTTTGACATCTTTGGTGGATTCATACTATTTATTTTCATCTCTTTTTGCTGACTTTTGTGTTACTGTTTAACGTTGTGCTGTCTAAAAGTGTTGCTTCTTATTAGAAGACGAAACACAGAGTAGAATATAGGCATAGGCCCTATAAGCATGTTTTTCAAACCAGCTTCAGGGATGGTGAGTTTGTAATTCCGACCGAATCCACATTCACTTGAACAAACTGTGCTGTGAGTGATCAATAAATCCAAATGAAGTTCTTCCATCTCATTTTTATTGTCCTGAGAAGTCAGCTTTGATTCAGGGTGAGCATTCTTTCTGGTTTTCCACCTGCCACCGGGCATAGATTATTCAGTTTGTGTTCAGAGATGACCAATTGTCAGATTGGGAGCTCAAGACAAAAGGAACACAAGAATTATGTCCCTCATTGTCACAGACAGCTCTAATGGGGGTTTTTAAAGTGTGAATCCTCACCTCTTTCAGGAAAAAAAAAATTCTGTTTCAATGTACTCTCATTACAATTCTACTATTTGTACCTATCTTTCTAACTGGCACAACTTCACCAAGGCCGAATGAGTCTTGTGTAGCCGCTGTGGTGACTGCCAGATTTAAATAAAATTGTTCATTTGAGAAGTGTCTTAGAAAAGAAAGGCAGTATTTCTCAGACCTAATGGGTAGCATATTTTGATTGATATTCAAATTCCTCCAAATAAAATTCTCAATTAAAATTTGCTTTACTAAAACATATTTGGCTCAAAGACCATGAGCAATTCAGCAAACTTAAGCAACAACAAACTAAATCCATTTCCCTAGTAAATCCTCTCTTCTTAAGCCCCAGTTCCTTTCTTATACTCAGATTTTCTCTCTTTTCCTTTTGATCTCCCTCTTTTGGCACTCCTGTCAACTCCTCCATCCTTGACCAGAAAACCCTACATTTTCCCAACAACTCTCCTAAAATCCCAATATGCCAGTGGTTTCTAAATATCTATCCCTCTCATGAACTACAAATGTAGGCAATTATATAATTAAATGTTGAACTTGAATCGAATTAAGAGTTAAAAATAAAAATTTACCTCAACCCAAGCAAGACAAGTAAATATTCATGAGAGAATTTAGAATTATTTTGGTTTCATGACACCCAGGATTACTTGACCAGTATCACCTTGTACAAATGTCAGTCATAACCTTGGATGCTAAATATGTGATAGAAAGAGCTGATTTGACACTCCTGGAAAGGAACCTAGGAGATCTTTCTTTCCACAGTTAACCTGAAGGCCGTTAAAAGGCCAGACAAGTAGATGAAAGTCTCCTAAAAGTCATACCTGAAAAATGACTAATAAAAATTTAATATATCATTGTTTAATTATGCAAACAAACAAACAAAAGATGAAAGAATAGGATATTTTCTGGATAGAATAGAGAATACCTTATGAAAATACTTGTAAGTTATGTGCTAATATAGTAGTAGCCCTTTGATCTCATTTTGTCAGTAAAGTGAAACTTGAAATTGAGACCTAATTAAAAAGAAAAAAAGGGAAATAATCCCTTTATCTGAACTTCAATATTTGGCAGCACATTTTAAAATCGATTTAGAATAAATATGAGACATAACCAATATAAAGTTTTAGTCCTACACATGAAATTGTTTGGTGGCTCATCTCCCAGTTGGACACCTACTGACAAGGACACTGGTAGATACTGTAAATAGAGTGGACGCTGAAAAAAAGATGGTCTCATTTTACAAAAGAAAAACCAAGATTTTAAAAATCCCTTAATTTAGATCAAAGGAGGTGCTCTGAAAAGGGAAAAATCATCTAACATCCTGCCATACTCTCAAACACTCAAAGTAAATTAACTATAAATATAGATGGTCACCCTCATGAATTTCTGGTACATATGGTTACCACCCTGGCCACATTAAACTCCACTACCTTTGTTCAACCTCTTCCTCGAATTAACGTGCCACATAGGTGGTAGGTATTTCAAATAACCAACAGATTTTTCTCCTAACACTTAACCATAAATCTGGTGCCCTTGACTGCAAAACATTTCTTTTTGCTCTGTGATACCTAACTCCTTCAAATTTAGCAATACAGACATACTTTGCAAATTGAATTCAATATTAAATGCATATCAAAAGGGCTTTTTCTTGAGGTCGAAGAGACTCTTGTATTCATGACGAAGTTAGGTCTACTCTAGTTATTTTTTCCTTTCCTCATTGCATTTAATATACACCCTGCATAAGGATCTTGCCACTGCATCTCTCTATGGGCTAAAAGTTCCGTTGATATAGACAAAATAACCAGCAAAGGCACTGTAAAATATAAATCCTACCAAAATATCTGGATAGTCTTTGAAACAAAATCAAAAGAAAGTCTCAATTTTGTAGTTGAAACCCTATACCCAAATATCATCTTGTATCCTGCACTTTGTAAAAAGTGAGTCTTTTTAACTCTCATCCTGCCAGTAAAGAAACCAAATGAACAAGGATATCAGTGATATCAATGTGCTCAAAACCTCAAGACCACCAGCAGAACTGCTATATCTTGTTTTCTGATAGTACCTAAACCAAATACCATCCTGTCATCAATTTCTCCTGAAGCCACTTCAATTTAATGGATCTGTGTTCTACCTTTTTCAATGTACCTGTAGGCCAGTTGAGTTCATTTCTTTGCCTTTACCTGAGAAGGACAACAGTATACCTCAACAGTCTGCCCCAGGGATCATTAAAATTTCCTCCTACTTTTCCCAGATCTAGGACTTGAAATATCTAAATTTCCCTTGTGACTCAATACTTGTATAATATGTAGATTATCTGCTACTTTGTTCAGAAAATAAAGAAACCTGTAAAAATAATTTCATTTATTTACTCTCAGCCTTGCAGAAAAAATATATAAAGTTTCAAAAGTTAAATTACAATTTTGACAGAACACAGTTAATTATTTAGGGAATGACCTATCTGAAGAGAGAAAAAAAATTCTCTCCTGATAGAAAAATAGTTATCCAATAACTATTTATCTACACCCTTCACAGTATGACAAGTGAAAAATTTTCTGTATTTGAGTGTTGCTGTGAATGACTGCCATTTTTTTTCTGAGATTGCTACACCTCTTTATGAATTGACTAAGTCCTCTGTACAATATGCTCTATTCTGTAAGCTCAAACGTGAACAGGACCTTTGTACTCTAAAGAAGATGCTTCAACAGCCTCTTTCTCTAGACAACCATAAGCACAAATTGCCATTCATCTATTTGTGCATGAGCAATCTGGACAAGCTCTTGGAATTTTAACTTAACTTCAGGGCAACCATCAAATACCCCTTACTTATGATAGCCTTACCCTTGATCTGATTACAAAGGCGTATTTCTCTTATGTTAGGATGATAACTGCCAAAGAAAAATTCTATGATTCTGCTGAAGTAGTTCTAGGCTCCCCATTTCACCTCATGATCTTCATGAAGTAGAAACACTGTTACTGACTGAGAACACACAACACATTTCGGCCAGCTGATTTACCTCTTATGAGATTTTATTACTCTCTCCTTCTTACATCACTATTTGGTATGGCAACACCCTGGATACTGCCACTCTTCTGCCCCTATCAGAAGAAAGGAGCTTCATGATTGTCTTACCTTGGTTAGGGAGTTCTCTGTAAATATTGCTCAGGTGTATTACAGACTCCTATTGAGAAGAACTCTGACCTAATATTGGTTGTTGATGGCTCATACTTCAAAACCAAAATTTGATGTTATCAAGCAGAATGTGCTATCAGTAATCTAAGCTCTCTTTTAGAATATAGTCTTCTACCTGAGATAAAAGCAGCCCAGATAGCAGGACTTATTTTATGTACTAGAGTTTGTCATGAAGCCAAAAACCAGAGTAAACATATGCACAGGAGACAGGTATGTTTGTGGAGTAGTAGTACATGACTGTGGCATGCTTGTGAAACAAAGGGTGTTTCTCGGCTCTGATGGAAACTCATCAAAAACAGACAAGTCAAATAAAATTTAAATATGCTCCTGCCATCTACTACTCTTAATGTGTTCGTATTTTGAATGTTCCCTTGTATTAACAATATATGAAATGCGTACATATATACATATATATTTATTTTTTGGCAAATTATAGCTAGCTCATTTACACTTTGAGCTTGAATTTTTCCACTGTAAATGTATGCCTTAAATTTACCAAAAGTTTTAAAGCTTTTGGATTTGCACCAACATGAAGAGTGAAAACTTTTCCTATTTCAATCTGATTAATTATCATCCAATGATAGTGACTAAAGTATGATGGTTATATTGAACATCGTATGAATATATAAATAAAATATTCACATTTTCAGTCAATATATGGCATCAGTAAAAGAGTAGAAGGAAATGTGAGTACCGCCACAGGATAAATATGTAGGTGGAGATATTATAAAGGGAATTCATTTTGGGGGGAACATTATTTTAGTCAGCTTTACAAATTGAGTTTCAGGAATAAACCTTGGTTTAATTTATAAATCCCCTGTTGATGTACATTGAGGTGTTAAAATTCCCAAATCAGTGAAATTTAAAATGTCTGAACATTTTCATTGAAACTTTGTGTGTATGTCTGTGATTTTCTACCCAAGATAAATTCTTGGAAATTGATTTAAAAATAAAGTGTGTCTATTTAAGTAATTTTACAGAGTCTCCCACTATCCTCCCAAAAAATGACAACCGTGCCATCTAGCAATATCAGTACATGAGAAGAGCTCTCACTTCAAATTCCTCCCACCCCATTTTTCAAGTGACAAATTATCTAGTTTTTTATTTTTAAATTTTTCAGGGGAAACTTGCATGTAGCATTTTGAACAAATTTGATACATTGAACTATATTTTAGCTAGAACACGTGGCAATTAGAGGAGAGATTTGAGAATCCAAAACTAATTTCTAAATAGTTATTAGCAAG
This sequence comes from Homo sapiens, assembly GCF_000001405.40. Taxonomy (NCBI): domain Eukaryota; kingdom Metazoa; phylum Chordata; class Mammalia; order Primates; family Hominidae; genus Homo; species Homo sapiens. The sequence goes on from NC_000013.11 coordinate 88,583,783, forward strand.
AAGTAAGAGAAAGAAACTTACCTTGGACAATCTGTAAAGAAAGAATTGAAAACAAACAAACAAAAAAACTAGTGATATATTGTGATAAACTGGAAAAATGTGAAACATAATAAAATATGTACAACAGAAGAATTAGAGGTACAGATAATGGAAACTAGAGAAGCAAAAACTATCATTCACTTGCATCTAGGTATTGATAAGAAGTGTGGTGCAACATATGCATGATTGTTACCACATTTTTCAGGCAGGAAGATATGTATTTCTCATATTGGATTATTTCCATACCACTTTCAATGAATTTTGAATATATGCTAATCAAGAACCTATTCCATTTTTCCTTTAGACTTAAATGCTTCTGAGTTCAAAATATTTCTCACATTAGAATATAATTACCTACATTAATTGATTATTCTACTTTATATTTTAATGCATAAATTTTAAACAAGAAAACAAGTGGACATATGTAGAGAGAAAGAGAAATTATCAGTTTGGTTGAGTTATATCAGATACAGTAATTTTAATATTTTATATATGCAGGTGTTTTTCTCTCAAAGAAGTCAAGTGTAAGAGTATTAGAAAAATAAAATGAAGTACTTTGGGTCATACTATCAATGTCTCTAAAATAGTAATATCTACCATGAACATGTATACATAAAACACACCAGAATTTGTTTTAATCTCTGTAAAGATATAGGATGCCAGTACAAAGAAGTGATTTAAGTTAGGTTATAGGACTTCGGAAAACCGTATGCTAGAGTCTCTGCATGTTGTGAGGTGGAGGACAAGGGAGGGATGGAAAGAAGAACAAAGTTATTTTAATTTTGAAGTTTTGAATCTGTTTATAAAGAAGGAAAAGCTGAATTGAAGAAATACACTGGGGAAAGTATTATGTAAAATGAGATGAAGTTTGTTACACAAAATATGTTCTTCTGGGGATGAAAGAGAATAGGCAGCTTTAATAAAGTGAGAGTCTCTGTCAGCACCCACTCTCCTGAAAACTTAGCTCCCAATTAGGATGCAATACATAGTCATTGGAATACTTTACTGGATACCACCCTAAGAAAAAGACTGCTTAGGAAAGGAGAAATGTGACATTAACATATCAAATATTAAGCCACATTTTGTTTTAACATCAGCATCAAAAAGATTCTATCCATGATTGTTTTTCATTTCTTTCTCTTTATAATTATATGTGAATGACAGTGAATTCATAAACCTATGAGTATATATATATATACTTTAAATATGAATTAGATTTATAAATATGTTACTCTAAATATATAAACTAAATAAAATGCATAATATATAATGGCATTTTTACCAGAAATAAAACTAATAATCTTTAAGTTAATAATAATTCAACTCAAGGTAGTTTTACTTCAGTGAAGAGGGTTTGAAATGGCATCACTCCCAAACTTATAAGGCAAAAGTCGGACAGACTGCAAATTAATAATTTTTTTGGACCCCATCTCAGAACTGAGGTCCCAAGGCAAACAACTGACTGAAAAAACAGGCAAAAAAAGGCACCTGAATAAAGAAAAAATGCTTGAACATTTACTTCTATAAGGCAGAGGCCATGGGTTGCAACATAAAGGAAAGTTCAGATTAAAATATTTAATCAGTTACTAAAGGCTGAGCACGAGTTAGCATGAGCGTGCTAGTGGATCAGCATAGGGGTTTGTACCCTATTGCAAGCTTTTGTCTGCACCCTAATCTCATCTTGAATTGTAGCACCTGTAATTCCCACATGTTGTGGGAGGGACCTGGTGAGAGATAATTGAATAATTGGGGCACTTTCCCCCACACTGTTCTCTTGGTAGTAAGTCTCATGAGATCTGATGGTGTTATAATGGTTTTCTCCTTTTACTTGGCTCTCATTCTGTCTTGTCTGCCACCATGTAAGATGTGCTTTTCACTTTCTGAGATGATTATGAGGCCTCCCCAGCCATGTGGAACTGTGAGTCCATTAAACCTGTTTTTCTTTATAAATTACCCAGTATCCAGTATGTCTTTATCAGCAGCAAAAAAATGGATGAATAGACATACTATGTTTACTCTCTAGGTGGAAGAGGGCAAAAAGTTTTGAAAAGTCACACACATGAGATCCTGGAATACAGTGCCTACCTAAGACTGAAGCTTATTGAAAACAGAAAACATTCTCTTGCCACTTCGTCCATAACAGGTTCTCAGGCATTGAGTAAAAGTAACAGTGGAATACAACTTAGTTACAAGAGACAGATTCTCTCCAGGCCACAGTGCAAAGGAAAGACCCAAAGGCAAAGGAAACAGATGTTAAGAAATTAACCTCCAGCAAACCACCCACACACTAAACAGAGATTGAAAGCTTCTGGTATACTGATGGTAACCATAAGAAAAACAAACATCAAACTAAATTCGAAAAAACAAATCCAACATTAAAGGGAAAGTCATGACCATCAGCAAACATAAACCATATTTAACTCAGGGACTACCTTCCTACAAAGGTGTCTGTCTTTTAAGAACAGCAAATGAGATGTAAGAAAAGGGAAGGAAAAATACACTCCAGGGGTAAATGTCAATAATAAGAACTAAACTCAGATAATTATTAGACATGGAATTTAAAATAACTATAATTTATCAAATAATATGGTAATCTTTCCCTACTTCTTAACACCTATGACTCAGCATGTTTGTTGGTGGTGGAGACATCTGTGTTAGGAATGGATGGTATGTGGAGTCTGAAAAAAGACTTAAAAGGTGATCCTAAGATCAGACTTTTAGGATCTTGGAATTAGTTGAAATTCTGAGTTAAATTTATTTGTGCTAAGGTTATATAAAAATTGCATATAATATCAGAAAGCATAAACTATAAATGCTATCTAATTTTAGAATAGTATATTATGGGAATAAAGTTTGGTATATGTTAATAATTATCACTAAGTCTTGTACTAAAAACAGGCTTGGGATAATTTGTACTTTCTTTCTCAATAAATTATTCACTTGTATCATTTTTTCCCTCTAGAATTTGCATTTCACATCAAATAGAATTTCTCTAGTATTTGTTTGATTAACAAAACATCTTAGGCTACAAGATTTTTGTATTTTAAAAACATAGAGTCTCTATATTTAATATATGTAATTTTAAATTTACCTTATTTTATTATTCAGTATTCTACCTAAAATTACACTAGTTTACAACTTTCTTGAGCTATTGAATGTTTAATATTTTTCACAAGTATACCGTCAGCTTACTTTGGATTGTACTGGAACAAGCTGCTCATAAAACGTTTGTCTAGGAAATATTATGGAATGCACAATGAGCTTTCTGATTTTCCAATTCACTGGCTTAATCTTTACTCCCTCTGTGGTTAAAACCTTAAAATCTTACTTTAGAAACACAAAAATACGGTGTCATAAATTATTATAAAATGATTCACTGCAGTTTTGTGGGTAAATTCCACACACTCTCACAAAAGCTTGAGAATTCTTCTGGTATAGATTCTTGTTTTGTTGTTGTTGGTTGGTTGTTTCCCAAGGAGTGTATGATTATCTTGTGAAACAATTATCTTCGGCCAGGTGCAGTGGCTCAAGCCTGTAAATCCCAGCAATTTGGGAAGCCGAGGCAAGTGGATCATCTGAGGTCAGGAGTTTGAGACCAGCCTGGGCAACATGATGGAACCTGTCTCTACTAAAAATACAAAAAATTAGCTTCACGGGATGGCGTACACCTGTAATCCCAGCTACTCAGGAGGCTGAGGCAGGAGAATCACTTGAACCTGGGAGACAGAGGTTGCAGTGAGCCGAGATCACGCCACTACACTCCAGCCTCAGTGACAAGAGTGAAACTCCGTCTCAAAAACAAAGAAAAAAGAAAAAAATATTATCTTCATGATTGCTTTAAGTACACCAATATTCTAGTCAAAATTGCACATATAAATGACCTTAGCCAGTTCCTCAAATACACTATAGTAAGGATATGCATTATGAACCCTGTTGGAAATTAGTTGTTGTGTCAAGGAAATAACATCTAAGAACATTTCTGTTATTATGTAAACTGTATTTAGAAACATAAATAGCCCTGCTTTACCAAAATTAGAAAATTCACCTGCTTTTTTTCACTATGCAAATAGGAAAAATTTGTGTATATGGGAGAGTACCGGGCTTGGGATGGGAAAAGATATGTCTGAGTCGCAATTCACTTGTATGACCTTGGGGAATAAATATCTTTAAACTCTCAGAGCCTTAATTTCTTTTTCTGATGCAAAATGCAGATGCCAAATACATATTTGAAAGGACACTAATTGAGAAACTGTATATGAAATACTACATAAACAATAAATTCCTACATGAATATAGCCATGGGTAGATTCAGGTTTTGTGGGCTTTGAAGCTTATACAATATGAAATAAAGGATACAAATAGTAAGTAATAATTTATATGCATATGAATATTTATTTATAATGAGTAAAATTACAGCCAATTACAAAGCTAATAAAACTGAAATTACAATATATATCATAAAATCCAGAAAAATATCACTATACTCTTTGTAATTTACTCATTGACACTTCTATAATAATTTTTTTTCTGTATCATTTAGGTAAATACTCACTGATCACCTCTAGTTATAAAAATAATTTGAGATATTTCTTAAGTAAAGATAATTCAGTCTGGTGAACAGTTCTTTCCCCTTCAAAATCTACATAATCCCATTCCTACCTCCTATAGAATCTATGCAAATAGTGGACACATCTTCTGTACCTAGACTAAGGTCATGATGCCAAGAAAGTGGGCACATGTACCTGGAATAAGAACAGGAAGGAAAAAAGTCATAAGTGTACAGCAAAGTGAGCAAGTATACATTCAGTAAGAAATGAAGTCAGAAACATTAGTAGTTGGATAAATATCTTTTTGTTCACCATTCTATTCCTAATTCCTGGAATAGTTCCTGACATATAATAGGTACTCAATAAATTATAGTTGAATAAATTTAAAAGTTCATGGATGAATGTAACTGGAAGTACTCCATCCTGATTCTTAGAAGCCATTTTCAAACTGAGAGCTCTAACAATTACTTAACTATACGTGGACCGGACTATAACCATTTGAATATACACCACGAAAGTGGAACCAAATGTATTCCTTATTCTCCTTAATCATAACCTTATTCCAAAAGCACCTGCAACCACATTTATGCAAATGGACAGCAAGCTAAGTCTCATGGAGAGGGAAAGGAAGAGTAAAAATAGACACCATCTTCATTTAAAAAATCTTTTAAAGACATAAAAATCATAGTGAACACCTTGCTAAAGCCCTGTGAAGGGGCTTATGCAATGAGGAGACATGCATCTTTACCTTCATTGGCTTTATGGAAAATTCATCTCTGAATCTACACTCATGCTCAAGATGATTCTTCTCAAGCAGAATGTCAGAAGTCTGCTGTGTAACTAAACAAGTTATATTTTTCATAGAACTACAGTCTTCTTCATTTACTTTTAGTAGATTGCACCTCTGCTAATCTGGAGATAGCAACTGGTGGCATTCAGAAGTAATGACATGATATTAATTTACTAGACTCAACCAACACTAGGTTTGCCATCCTGAAAATTATTCATGAAACCCACCTGGTCACAGTCAGCTCCAGATCTTTTCTTTCTTTTATAGTTTTAGGCCTTAATACACATTTCTATATACTGGATTTATTCCATAATGTTAAGTGTTGTGCACCCAATTTGGAGATAATACCTAATTCATTTTTGTGTTCTCAATGCCTAGTACATTTTTGAGCAAGCATAATCTTAATAAATATTTGCAAAATCAATTAATTAAAAATACTCATGTAAATGCAGAGATTTTCAGTGTAGAAGACAACATCTAAGAGTACATGCAGTTACGTGTACATGCAGTCACATGTAGGCTGCTACAATGCTATCATAGTTTTACAACTGAAATCTTTGTATCTGCTTCCTTGTATCTATTTTTATGAACTGCTTCCTTGTATCTATTTTTTAATAGAATATCCATATTTATATCCATATATATAAGATATATATATATACACACACACACTAGAAATATACAATGAACATACTGCATAGAAATGAACTATATTTTATATATGTATATACATCTTGACAGCATGGTTCTGCAGATACTCTGCCTTTCTTTTTGAGGTGATTTTTTTCCCATCTTTATATTGCACACTCTATTCAACCTCCACGGATTGTTTTTCACTTCTATAAAGATAAAATGTACATTCTTTCATTAACTCGCTTTGCACTCCTTCTGGTTTATTTCACCATAATATGAACTTGACTGGTTTTTGTTTTCAGAGTTTTAGCAAATTTTTACATGAAGGCATTTCCTGACCATTGTACCTAAAGTAACTTTTATTTCTGTAGTTATTTCATCCTACTCTCTTCCCCATAACATTGCTCTATCTCTGAAATTATCTTGTCTATCTAAAAATTTTCAAGTATCTTTCAAACCACTTTGGAAAAAGTAGCTTCTTGTATAAAGAGACTTTCTTTGCTATCTTATGTATAATATGTTCTCATTGTCTACAAGAGTGCCTCACAAAAAAGTTTCACAATAAGTATTTGTAGAATGAGTGGATAATCATAACAGTGGGAAAATAACAATAAAAATGTAATTTGCTTATTAAATTTTAAATTTAATTTCTATATTTGGGTTACATTACCAAATATATTATGTAGAGTATAAAACTAAATATTATGAATTTTATAATTGTACAGTGATAATATTTTAAATTTATATGCCTTATAAAATTATTTATAAAAGCTATTGATTTTTCCCCATTCATTATGTTATACAATTTACTTCAAAAGAATCACAGGGTACAAATGAGTTTAATTCAACTAGATAAGACTACCATTTAATTTCCCCAGCACAAAGAGCTAACAAAATCTTTTTCAGAATGATATACAATAAAACTCAAACGTATTTTGCTGCCATGCAAATTCAAAAAGAGAACCCATAAAAAACAAATATTGCATCATCTACCTTATCACTATCCAATAGTTCCTACTAAAATTGCTTAAAATAAATAAATGATAAGTAAACAATTGGTGTTAAGAGTTATAACCACATGATTTTAAAATATTAAGTGCACAAATGCAATAAAACATAAGCTAAATTTATTTGTGTTCATTATTAAACCTCATTAAAGTTGAATCAAATATTTTCCTCCATGTTAAAGGCAGTTTTTAATGAAAACATGTTTTTACAAGGCCATAGCGTATTTACATAGAAACAACATTTACAAAAATGTTGAAAGGCTTAAGTCAATAAATATATCTCCAACATTCTAGAAATTTAAGAAATAGAGGACAGTTAAACACAACTTTTATATTTTTTCTCAAAATTGGCATTGAGTTAACTTGTATTTTGAGAATCAAAGAAAGCCTAGGTCAATAAAATCCCACAGGATAATAGACATTAGTAAAAAATGAGGATGGTAAATTATACACTGAAATGTTATTTGTGTCTTTTTTTCATAGAAAAAAACAAATTATATAAATTATATGTTTGAATATATAAAGGTAATTTTAAATTAATTTTATTTTGCAGCCCTTTTCTGTTGTCCATAAAATGCCGATAGTTTTTTCCTCCAAGATGGCAGAGTATAGGTTTTCACCATGGCTGAGACATGTGGAAATTGCAAAATAGTGCATAAAGATCAACTCTATTAGCTTTAATTTAAGAAGAAAAACAGGAATCCACCAGAATTGTGAAGGACTCCAGATCCCCAGGAGAGATCACAGTCAAGTAGCATCCAGCTGATAAAAGTTAGTGAAGTCCCAGTATGTGAGAGACATAGAAAGCCTCCTTCTGTGACTCACTTTTCCACTGAAGATCCAAGCAACCCAACTTGCAGGAGAGTACGTCATTTTTCCTAAGCCCTAGAGCTAACTTGGGAAGAGCCTTGGAGATATTATGAGGAAAAGATACTAGAAAAAGCTGCAGACATTTTCCCAGACCTAGGACTGAGAGCATAACATAATTTTTAATCCAGGTGCATACAAAGTCAGCCATTCTTTAGTGGGTCAGCAGCATGGCCACACAGGCATTTCAGTCTTGGGCCAGAGATTGGAGTGCCTGCTCTGGATCAGGGTAGGATCCTTCACAGCCAGAATTGTGGAAAGCACCTCAACAGTAGGTGCTCAAGTTGTGTTTTTACTCATTGCAAACCTGGGGTGGGAGAAAAACTGCTACAGCTGCAGTTTATCCTGGGTGGTAAGACTTACAGCCAACGCCAGCTTTGTTACCTGGAACTGGTTTATGTGTGTCATTACTGGGTGCCCCAGCCTGCTCCCCTGAGATTGTGGTGAAGTGGATTCCTCTCTGATCCACTTACAGGCAGAAATTCAGGCATTTGGAGCACCCACTTGCCTCAGCCAGCAGCCTGAGATTCCTCACCCTTCATGGACATAGACTGTGGTGCAGTGGGGCCCTCTGCACTTCATGCCCAAGCAGGTTTCCAGACATTCAGAGAATCCGTTTGCCTGGTGCAGCAGCATGAGTCACTACACACTTTCTGGGCACTGATTGTAGTGCAGCAAGGGCCTCTCCACTCTATGCCCAGGCAGATCTTCAGGCTTTCAGAGAACCTGCTTGCCTGGTTCAGCAGCCTCAGTTGCCCAACATCTCCTGGGCAGAAATCTTGTTGCAGAAGGCCCTTCTCTGCTCCAAACCAGGCAGATCTCCAGATATCTGTCATTACCACTCTCCTGGTATACGAGCTTAGGCTACCTTTGATTCCCATGCAGAGAAAATTAGGCCAATAAAGTTTTCCAGCTCCAAACACAGGAACACCTCTGGGCACTTGGGGGCCGCCCACTAGATTCTTTATTGACAGTGATGCTTGTGCCAGCCATCAGGAGATGTGTAGGATGACAACCTGCTTAGTACATTGCTATCAATCATGGACTCATACCTCCAGTGCTGAGCAGCAAGCATAGACCACTGTACATTTCATTAACTGTCTCATTGCCTGAGGCAATAGAGAGCTTCTGCCAGTAAACAAGGATCAAGTATATACCTAGCCATGTTGGCTGCAGATGGCTGTTACCTATAAGTGCAATCTACTTGCTTGTAGATCAAAGTATATTGCCAAGTATAAAACCTGCAGAAAGAAGTGCATAGGGCTATAGTAGAAAAGCTAAAAGACTGTAATAAGAATTCTCTACAGTTGCACTCCTTAGGGAGCAGGCTAAGGGAAAGGAAAGGGAAAAAAATATAATATAATGGAGAAAAAAATAAAAATCCTACTTGCATAAAAATAATTTTAATAATTATAGAAGCCCATATCTACAGAGGAGAAGAAACAGGAGAAAATAATTGGCACCATAAAAAATCCGAATGTAGTGACATTACCAATGGATTGCACTAGCTCTCTAGCAATGGTCCCTAACCAAAATTAAAACTCAGATATGACAGAAAGACAGATGAAGAAATAACATACTCAGAAATGATAGATAAAAAATTCAAACTATGAATTGTGGGGAAGCTCAAAAAAAACAAAGACAGGGTTGAAAATCAACACAAAGAAACTTCTCAAGAAATTCACTATATGCATGAAGAGATAAATATCTTAAAAAGGAATCAGTCAGAGAATCTGGAATTGAAAAGCTCACTCAAGGAATTTTGAAATACAATTGAAAGCTTTATCAACAGTTTGGCCCAAGCAAAATAAGGAATTTTGGAGCTTGAAGACTGGTCTTTTGAGCTAATCCAGTCAGATAAAAAAGTAATAATAATAATAATAATAATAATGAACAAAGTCTTCAAGAAATATGGAATTATATAAAGCCAGTCAACATACAAATTATTGAAATTTCTGATGGAGAAAGAGAAAAAGTTAAAAAACCTGGGAAACATTAGAGAAAATAAAATATTTCTAGAAAGTTTCCCTGACTGTGCTAGGGAGGGAGACATCCAGATATAAGAAATCCGGAGAATCGCCTGTGTATTAGTCTGTTTTCACATTGCTATAAAAAACTACCTGAAACTGGGTAATTTATTAAGAAAAGAGGTTTAATGGACTTACAGTTCTGCAGGTTGTACAGAAAGTATGGCTGGGAGGCACCAGAAAACTTACAAATACGGCAGAAGATGAAGGGAAAGAAATTACATCTTACATGGCAGGAGCAAGAGTAAGAGAAAGTTAAAGGGGAAGTGCTACACACTTTTAAACAACCAGCTCTTTTGGGAACTCACTCACTATCATGAGAACAGCAAGGGAGAGTCAATCACTTCCCACTAGTCCCTTCCTCCAACACGGCAGATTACAATTCCACATAAGATTTGGGTAAGGACACAGAGCCAAACCATATCAACCTGTGAGATACTATACAAAATGAACATCACTTATGCATATAATCACCAGACTGTCCATGGTCAATGCTAAAGAAAATATAAGAACAGCTAGAGAAAAGGGTCCAATCACATACAAAGGGAACCGCATAAGGCTAACAGTGTGATTCTCAGCAGAAATTTCATAAAACAGGAGATAGTGGGAGCCTATTATCAGCCTTCTGATTACTCTGGCTATGACTTCCAATACTATGTTATACAGGAGAAGTAAGACTCAGCATCCTTGTCTTTTTCTAGTTCTCAAGGAGAATGCCTCCCATTTTTGCCCATTTAGTATAATATTAGCTGTTTGTTTGTCATAGATGGCTCTTATTATTTTGAGGTGTGTTCCTTTGATGCCTAGTTTCTTGAGACTTTTTATCATGAAGTTAAGTTGAATTTTATTGGAAGCTTTTTTGTATCTGTTGAGGTAATTATATGGTTTTCACAGGTAATTCTGCTCATGTAGTGAATCACATTTATTGATTTACATATATTAAACCATCCTTCCATCCCACTTACGCAGTCTGTTTGAACATGGTGAACTAACTTTTTGATGTGCAGCTGAATTGGGTTGGCTAGTATTCCAACTAAGAATTTTATATCCCACCAAACTAAGCTTCATGAGTGAAGAGGCACCTGCAGGCCCATGCTGAGCTTCCCTCATCCCACATGCTCATTGGTGCCCAAAGTCCAGAGAGAGTGCCAAGGTGCCAGGGGCCCAATGTGTCAGCACCGCCCTGAGTGTGCACAGACCCAGCCAGGTCACAACACCACCTAGGATCTCCCTCAACTTTGTTCTTAAATCAGAGTGGGTGCTGGGAGCAGGGAGAGGCCAGGCAGGAGGAGCAGGCATTTCTGAGCCTGTGGGGTCAGGGGGACTTCCCAGGCTCTGGAGAATGTAGGAATGCCTGGGTCTGCAGCCACAGATGGGTAGATTCAGCTGTGCCTTGAAGGGCAGGGCTCCTACCCTGCCAACTTGGAAGGGAATGAGGCTTCTGCTTGTTTCTGGCTCCCATTGGCTTGTGAAACATGCAGCCCCAGCCATGCCTCGCCTGCTGCAGCTGGCATCTTCACAGAAGCCATTTCAGATAGGCCACTGCTGCTATCACAAACACAAAGGTCAATGAAACAGAATAGAGAACACAGAAATAAAGCTGCACACCTATAACCATCTGCTCTTTGACAAAGTTGACAAAAATAAGCAATGGAGAAAGGACTTCCTATTCAATAAATTGTGCTGAGATAGCTGGCTAGCTATATGCAGAAGAATGTAACTGGATCCTTACCTTTCACCATATGCAAAAAATTAATTCAAGATGGGTTAAAGATTTAAATTAAAAACCTCAAATTACAAGAATCACAGGAGAAAACCTTTGGCTCATCCTGGACATCATACTTGAGAAAGAATTTATGACTAAGGCCTCAAAAGCAATTGCAACAAAAATAAAAATTAACAAGTAAGACCTAATTAAATTAAAGAGCATCTGAACAGAAGAAAAAAGCTATCAATGGAGTAGATAGACAATCTAGAGAATGGGAGGAAATATTTGCAAACTATACATCTATAAAAGGTCTAATATCCAAAAATCTAAGGAAATTAAATAATTCAAGAAAGAAAAACAAATAACTTCTTTAAAAAGTGGGCAAAAGACATAAACAGACACCTCTTTAAAGAAGACAGACAAGTGGCCAAAAAACATGAAAAAATGCTCAAAATAACAAACCATCAGAGAAATGCAAATCAAAACCTCAATAGGATATTATTTCACACCAGTCAAAATAGCTATTACTTAAAAAATCAAAAAACAACAGATGCTGGTAAGGCTGTGGAGAAAAGTGAATGCTTATACACTTTTGGTGAGAATGCAAATTAATTTAGCCACTGTGGAAAGCAGTTTAGAGATTTCTAAAATAACTTAAAACAGAAATGCAATTTGACACAGCAATCTTATCACTGGGTATATATCCATTTTACCCTTCATGCTAAAAACTCTCAATAAATTAGGTATTGATGGGACATATCTCAAAATAATAAGAGCTATTTATGACAAACCCACAGCCAATATCATACTGAATGGGCAAAAACTGGAAGCATTCCCTTTGAAAGCTGGCACAAGACAGGGATGGCCTCTCTCACCACTCCTATTCAACATAGCGTTGGAAGTTCTGGCCAGGGCAATCAGGCAGGCGAAAGAAATAAAGGGTATTCAATTAGGAAAAGAGGAAGTCAAATTGTCCCTGTTTGCAGATGACATAATTGTATACCTAGAAAACCCCATCGTCTCAGCCCAAAATCTCCTCAAGCTGATAAGCAACTTCAGCAAAGTCTCAGGATACAAAATCAATGTGCAAAAATCACAAGTATTCTTATACACCAATAACAGACAAACAGAGAGCCAAATCATGAATGAACTCCCATTCACAATTGCTTCAAAGAGAATTAAATACCTAGGAATCCAATTTACAAAGGATGTGAAGGACCTCTTCAAGGAGAACTACAAACCACTGCTCAACAAAATTAAAGAGCACACAAACAAATGAAAGAAGATTCCATGCTCATGGATAGGAAGAATCAATATCGTGAAAATGGCCATACTGCCCAAGGTAATTTATAGATTCAATGCCATCCCCATCAAGCTACCAATGACTTTCTTCACAGAATTGGAAAAAACTACTTTAAAGTTCATATGCAACCAAAAAAGAGCCCGCATTGCCAAGTCAATCCTAACCCAAAAGAACAAAGCTGGAGACATCATGCTACCTGACTTCAAACTATACTACAAGACTACAGTAACCAAAACAGCATAGTACTGGTACCAAAACAGAGATATAGACCAACAGAACAGAACAGAGCCCACAGAAATAATACTGCACATCTACAACCATCTGATCTTTGACAAACCTGACAAAAACAAGAAATGGGGAAAGGATTCCCTATTTAACAAATGGTGCTGGGAAAACTAGCTAGCCATATGTAGAAAGCTGAAACTGGATCCCTTCCTTACACCTTATACAAAAATTAATTCAAGATGGATTAAAGACTTGCATGTTAGACCTAAAACCATAAAAACCCTAGAAGAAATCCTAGGCAATACCATTCAGGACATAGGCATGGGCAAGGACTTCATGTCTGAAACACCAAAAGCAATGGCAACACAAGCCAAAATTGACAAATGGGATCTAATTAAACTAAAGAGCTTCTGCACAGCAAAAGAAACTACCATCAGAGTGAACAGGCAACCTACAGAATGGGAGAAAATTTTTGCAATCTACTCATCTGACAAAGGGCTAATATCCACAATCTACAAAGAACTCAAACAAATTTACAAGAAAAAAAACAACCCCATCAAAAAGTGGGCAAAGGATATGAACAGACACTTCTCAGAAGAAGATATTTATGAAGCCAACAGACACATGAAAAAATGCTCATCATCACTGGCCATCAGAGAAATGCAAATCAAAACCACAATGAGATATTATCTCACACCAGTTAGAATGGCAATCATTAAAAAGTCAGGAAACAACAGGTGCTGGAGAGGATGTGGAGAAATACGAACAATTTTACACTGTTGGTGGGACTGTAAACTAGTTCAACCACTGTGGAAGACAGTGTGGTGATTCCTCAGGAATCTAGAACTAGAAATACCATTTGACCCAGCAGTCCCATTACTGGATATATACCCAAAGGAATATAAATCATGCTGCTATAAAGACACATGCACATGTATGTTTATTGTGGCACTACTCACAATAACAAAGACTTGGAACCAACCCAAATGTCCAACAATGATAGACTGGATTAAGAAAATGTGGCACATATACACCATAGAATGCTATGCAGCCATAAAAAATGATGAGTTCATGTCCTTTGTAGGGACATGGATGAAGCTGGAAACCATCATTCTGAGCAAACTATCACAAGGACAGAAAACCAAATACTGCATGTTCTCACTCATAGGTGGGAATTGAACAATGAGAACACTTGGACACAGGAAGGGGAACATCACACACCAGGGCCTGTTGTGGGGTGGGGGTAGGGGGGAGGGATAGCATTAGGCGATATGCCTAATGTAAATGACAAGTTAATGGGTGCAGCACACCAACATGGCACATGTATACATATGTAACAAACCTGCATGTTGTGCACATGTATCCTAGAACTTAAAGTATAATAAATATATAGAGAGAAAAAAAGAGAAAATGTTGTACCTATACACCATGCAATACTATGCTGCAATAAAAAAGAATGAAATTATGTCCTTAGCGACCACATGGATGCAGCTGGAGGTCATTATCCTAAGCCAATTAATCTAGAATAGAAAACCAAATAGTGCATTTTCTCACTTATGAGAGCCAAACATTGAGTTCTCATGGACATATAGATGGCAACAAATGGCCACAGTATAAACTGGGGACTACTAGAAGGGAGAGGGAGAGAAGAGGGCAAGATTTCAAAAGTTAAAACTTGGGTACTATGCTCAGTACTTGGGTGATGGGATCATTTGTAACCCAAATCTCAGCATCAGGCAATATACCCAGGTAATAAACCTGCATATGTACTCCCTGAATCGAAAATAAAATTTTAAGAAAATTATCTTTGCAGATATTTTTAAGTTAAAGATCTTGACATCGGAAAATTATCCTGCATTATCTGAGTGCATGCATGCAATTATAAATGTCTTTGTAACAGACAGGTAGAGAGAAATTTTACCCATCCAGAAATGTAGGCGATAACCATGGAGGCAGCTATTGGAGTGATGTGGCTACAAACCAAAGAATGCTGATAGCCTATGAGAGAATGGAAGAGATGGGAAATAGACTCTTCCCAGGCACCTCTGGACAGTGTGTGGCCATCCTGCTACACTGATTTCAGCCTTGATACTAATTTCAGACTTTTGGCCCTAGAACTGTGAGATAATAAATTTCAGTGTTTTGAAAAATAAAATAAAGTAAAATAAAATACTGATATTTAACTCACATATATTGACTGCTACTATTGGCTACTCAAAATACTATGTGTTTTCTGTTCTGTTCTATGTGGATTTATTAGGCTAGCCACTATTACCTAAGTTTATAAATATGAATAAATTGTTTTTCTTGCCCTCAAATATTTTACTATAACCATGAAAATACAGAAATATTTAAATATAATTTAATTTACATGTAATAAGTGATATTATAGAGCTTGGATTAGTATTCCAGAAGAACAACACAACATCTAACCATTTATGTTTTTGGTGGAGGGGGATTGTTGTTGGTTTGTTATATCAGGGGATATTTACCAAGAGTGTGAAATCTAAGATCTCTTAAAGAATTAGAATAATCAGTCATTAATGACTAGAAATGGAAACCTCCTACCCTCACCTTCCTACATATGTGACAAAATGAGTAATGTAAACACACTGTGTAAGTGGAACATTTGTTGCCTACTTAGAAAATAAAGGAGTTTAGTGTTTTATAAGAATAACATAAAAGGGAAGACAGTGCCAGCTCATAAATGTTTTAATGTTTCATTTCACAAAAATTAAAGTCAGAGCCATGAAGAGGTAGGCATTGCTTGGATATTAAGAGGAATTGTGGTTTAATCACATTTACATATAGATAAACTGTTCTACTAGCATTAAGGTAGATACCCAATGTGTAAATTCCAAAGAAATGGACTATTTAGGTAGGTTTTGGGAGCATTCAAGAGGCCAACAATTTAAACACTGTCACTTCATCCTCAAAATATTTTCTTGAAATGCCAAATATCTGCTTCATTTTACAGATTAAGACATTTATATTCAGAGAGGTTGCATTGTTTTATTTGATTCAGTTATCCCTGGTATGTATGCATAATTGTCAATTTAACAATTCTTTTCCAAAAAAATATAATATTTGTCCAGCAATGAATACAAATTCTCAACCAGAGCTGATTCCAGGTTTCCTGCCAGGGTGGACAGTAAGTTTCTATTGCCTGAGAATTGCTAAACTGCTGAGTCCATACAGACTTGTGTGCCTCAGGTGGCTCAAATCATAGGTTATAAATTGTGCACTACATAGTGTTCCAGATAACCCATTCCAAGAAATGATATTTCTCTGCATCTTAATAAGAGTTTAGTGTACGTTGAATAAATAATAGAGTGCTTATTGCTCCTTTCTTATCCTTAACTTACTCCCTTTTAAATAAGCTTTTGCAAGTACACTTTGTTTCTGAACATAGAACCATTCCTATCTGGACTCCATGTAAGAACAAAACACTAACTCATTACATTAAGAAAAAAGGAAGTAATTAAATTTAAACTTCAAGTTCTCCAGAATAAAACATTCTAATCTTCTTCTTCCAGCAAACCACTTTCTGCATCCATCACAGACCCTACAAGCCACTGTTTTGATCATACCAGCAAAAAGATTCCTGGTTATATATCCCTATGCCCCCCTCATAGGACTACCCAGTGGAAAATTTAGGATGTATTTCAGAAGTGAATATTTAAAGACGATATTACAGCTTAGTCTTCCTTCTCAAGAGAGAAAATCCAGTCGTCCCATATAGCCATCCATTTTTAGCAAAGAAAATACATAAAAACTCAGGAGGCCATAACAATGCATAACTATTTTATTAAAATGTATTTCTCCAAATGCTGGTGACTTATGAAAAAAATGTGCAAATAAAATTTTATTATGCATACTATATGCTGGCTGTTGCTTATTTATATTTTCTTCTCTATTTGTTTTAGGCCATGACTAGTCTTGGAGTCTTGCTCAATTATTGTATAAATAAGTCACAGAAAGAAATCATTTTAAATCATTTTCAGTGAAAGTGATGATTAAATCTATGCCAAGAGTCAGAAAAGATTTAGAAGCTCTGTGAAGACTGGAAATTAGAAACAGAACATATAGATCCTGCTTGGAACATTAACTTTATCTAATTATACTTCTCGTAGAATACAGTCCAATTTCAACCTTCACCTTTTTCCACTGCAGAGAAATCAATTCATTCTTTCTCATTCCAGCAGTTCTATGAGCAAAACAATGAGCTACAAAATTATTTTTTTCTTTTATACCATAAAGAAAAAAATACATATTTATTAACTTTTATTTTTTTTTTATTTTTATTTTTTTTTTTTTGAGACGGAGTCTCGCTCTGTCGCCCAGGCTGGAGTGCAGTGGCGGGATCTCGGCTCACCGCAAGCTCCGCCTCCCGGGTTCACGCCATTCTCCTGCCTCAGCCTCCCAAGTAGCTGGGACTACAGGCGCCCGCCACTACGCCCGGCTAATTTTTTGTATTTTTAGTAGAGACGGGGTTTCACCGTTTTAGCCAGGATGGTCTCGATCTCCTGACCTCGTGATCCGCCCGCCTCGGCCTCCCAAAGTGCTGGGATTACAGGCGTGAGCCACCGCGCCCGGCCTATTTATTAACTTTTAATTGTTTCACTTTTTGACCTTATTTTGTAGAAGAAAACTAGCCATCATTATGTATGATTGCAACATCTTGTAATGACATAAATCAAGGACCAGTGATTTGTTTCTAAAAAAAAAAAAGCGAAAGGGAAAGTTTATTTTCCGTATAAAGGAGAAATAAACAAAGATAGAAAATTGCAGGGCATGTTGAGCTTTATAGAATATAATGTTAAATACTTGTATACCTTCAGACACAAATTTCCATCTTTTATTTCATGTTCTTTTTTTGACAGGCAATCTCTTTTAATTGAAAGACTTGTTTTTATAAACAATTTTGAAGATATATTTAAATTATTTGTTTTTCAAATATCGTAAGATCATAGATGTTTGTTTTTAAAATTAATTGATTATCCCTAATTTGTCTTTGATAGATTTTTATACCATGAAGATATTAGAAAAATTTCATTTATATGTTCTCTTAAATCAAGGTTTAAAATCTTTTGTGTAAAAAGCCAAATAGTAAATCATTTACGACTTGTAGACCTTATGGTTTCTGTCACAACAACGCAGCTGTCATTGTAGCATGCAAGCAGCCATATACAATGAGTAAACAAGTGGATGTTGTGTTTGAATGTAGCTTTATTTACAAGACCAGGTGGCACTCCATATTTGGCTCTTGGGTCATAGTTTGCTGACTCATGTCTGAAGCTATTTTATTACATATTCATTGAAAACATACAAAACAGAAAACAATTTTTGCCAGTAAATGTGGAAAGTAAGGATAACTATCATTTGCTTGGGTCAAAGTAAATTTGAGTTGACTGAGAAATAAAATTAGTTACCTGTATGTGCTCACTTTGTCCTTTATAACAGAAAAGCATAGATAGACAGACAAATGAAGTGGTAAGAATCTGAAACTTGTTTATCAACTTTGTGAATTCGAAATCTTGAATTCTCCACTATGTAGCAAACCATATTTAATTCTGGAAGCCATGAGGATTGGATTTCCACTGAGTAAAAGTTTGGCTTATTTTTAATATTAATATTTAATGTCCTTATTAGTTTGTGTTAGTTTGGGGTAAATTTTTATTATACAAATCAATAAATAAATTACAGTATTTGTTTACATATAAGTGTAAGGTACACATACTAGTGCATTTTTTTTTCATTGCTGCCTTAACAAATTATCATACATTTAGTGGCTTAAAACAACATTCATTTATTGTCTCATAGTTCTATAGGTCAGAAGTCCAAGTATAGTATAACCCAGTTGGGTCTTCTGCTTAAAGCCTCACAATGTCAAAATGGTAATATTAGCAAAGATGTACTCTTTTTCTGGAGGTTCTGTGGATGAATCTGCTGCCAAACTCACTCAGGTTGCTGGCCATATTTATTTCCTCGCACATGTAGGGCTAATATCTCCATTCCCTTGCAGGCTGTCAGCCATGGGCCTAGAGGCTTAGTTCCCAGCAGCTGCTTGCATCCCTTCCCATGTTTTCTACATCCGTCTTACCCCCACCTCCAGCAATGATAGGTAGCATTCCACTCGTGCTTGGAAACTCCCCAACCGCTCCTCCTGCCACATCTATTTGATTCTACCTTGAGAAAAAAAGAAAAAAAAAGGAAAGAAAAAGAAAAGAAAACAAAAATCTCTGTTTTCAAGGGTTCATGTGATTAGATTTTGCTCAACCAGATAATGCAGGATAATCTCCCTGTTTTGAAATCCTTAACCTCAATGACTTTTGCAGGGCCTTTTCATCATGTACTGTAACTTATTCACAAGTTCCAGGGATTAGGTGGTAGGCATCTTTGGTGAATCATTCTACCTTCTACAATTAATGATATGATGAACACCAGCATATCTACTTATTGGTTTATGAAATATATCCTTTCTCTTAACTTTAATATATCACCCATTTCATCCTTTCTCTCCTGCTTCAGGGATAAACATATTTCTGAATTTTATGTTTATCATTCTTCATGAGAATGGAATTTCTGTTTAATACTGTATGCACATTTTCAGCTTTAGTAGATAATAGGAGGTGGAAGATGACTTAATAAGTGATTCATAAATTTACACAACAAAAAAGTATGTGTGTATGTTCCTATTGTTCCACATACTCACCAAAAATATTGTCATTCGCTTTTTAAAAATGTGGAGATATGATACAGTATGTGATTTATCTAAATAAATATTATTTAGGATAATGAGCTCCTTTTTATATGGTTATTGAATATTTTATTTTTATTCTTCAGATAAATGCCAATTTTTCTAGTCATTCATTGACTTGGTCTTATTTACTTCTAAAAGATTTTTATGTATTTAAATCACATACATTCTACATGTTCTGTCTCAGTTTATGATATGCTTCAAACTTCCTTTAATATTTATGCAGAACAAAAATGTGAGAAGGAGAGGAATGAGGGCATGGAGCAGGAAGGATGTGGAGAGGGACATTCTCTGAGAATACTTGTTTGTATAAACTGGATTTTAGAGCCATGTTAACATTTTACCTCCTCAAATAAAAATTGTAATGTGAATAAGCCTTCAGGACATTGTGTTAAGTGAAATAATCAGGCACAGAAAGACAAATACCACCTGATCTCACTTATGTGTGCCATCTAAAAGAGTTGTACTCATAAAAGTAGAAAATAGAATGGTGGTTAGCCAAGGCTGGGGATTGGAAGACTAGAGAGATATTGGTCAAAGGATACAAAATCTTAGTTCAACTGGAGGAATAAGTTGAAGAGATCTATTCTACATTTTGGTGACTATAATTAATAATAATGTATGGTATACTTGAAAACTGCTGTGACTAAATTATGTGTTCTCATAACAAAAAGTGATAAGTATGTGAAGTAGTACATATGTTAATTAGCTTGATTTAGCATTTTCACAATCTATACATATATCAAACATTATGTTGCACACTATAAGTAATACAATTTTATCAATCAAAATGTTTTTAAAAAATTAATGAAATAAAATGGATAAGGAAAAATAAAAAATGGATATTTAAAAGAAAATATTTCTCTCACCTACATTCACAAAGATATTATATACATTTTCTTTTGTTAATTTTATAGCTTGCTTTAAATATTTTAAAAACATAGTTTTAAAATTTCCTCTTTTTTCTGTTATAGGAGATACCCAATTGTATGTTTTTCCAAGGGGGAAACCCATATTCTAATTTCATTTACTAAAGAAATGCTTCATCCTCTACTGATTTGTCTTTACTTGAGGCTGTCTCCGAGCTCTCTCTCCTCTCTTTATTTAAATATACCAATCTCTCAACAACACAAATCAAACTTTAGTTACCAAGGTCCATTAACCATGAGTAATTTCACAAAGCACAAGCTTCACTGCTAGCTCTTCCCTCATGTTAATCACATTTAACTAAGAGGTAAACCTCATGCTCACAGACTAACCATGGCTCTTCTTTCTTTTTTTTTTTAATTTTTTTTAAATTTTATTTATTTATTATTATTTTTTATTTTTTTATTATACTTTAAGTTCTAGGGTACATGTGCACAACGTGCAGGTTTATTACATATGTATACATGTGCCATGTTGGTGTGTTGCACCCATTAGATCTAGAGCTAGAGATACCATTTGACCCAGCCATCCCATTACTGGGTATATACCCAAAGGATTATAAGTCATGCTGGTATAAGGCTCTTCTTTCAATGTCTGTTGGTGAAAGGTCACTGTGATTCTCTTTCTCAGTTCACACACAGACAGCCAAACATTTAATTGTGTTGTCTCCTTGTATCCTAATGCTATATTCATGTGACACTTAATTTAAAAATGGATAAACAAATGAGAAAGTGACCCACAGAAATGAAGGTGCAGCAAAAAAAAAAAAAAAAAAAAAAAAAAAAAGAAGAAAATAAAAATGATAATGCTGGAAGTGAACCAAATGTAAATGGAATTAGAGAAGAAATAGCTGACCCTGGGAGTGTTGACACTGTTGCTATTGGAGAGACTCTAGATATACAATCAGAGGAATCTGATGAAGGTGGATTTATTGGCATAAATGAGAAAAGTGGTTTGACAAATAGGATGAATTTGTTCCAGAAGAAGTGATGTCTGCCAAAATTTTCACAGTAAATTTACTCTAAAGCATTTCAAGACATTTGAAGTGCAAAGATAAAATACTGGAAGCCAATCCAAACTTGCAATGGAGTAGGACAATTCGTCAATGCATAAGAAAATGTGCACTTTATATCACAAGTTATATGATAGGCTCTTGTGAATGGTATCTTAATTTAGTAAGTTTCATAGCTATTTATTGTTAGCTTTGCATAATATTATTATTTGTTGAATCTGATTTTAAGGTTGGCAAACATGCAAAAGACTCATTCTATGATTTGATTCTGTTTTGGAGGGGGAATAGATGACATAAGCTATAAATAATTACATTTTTATTTATTCTTGTCCAACCTTTACCTTCTTAGTTTTTAATTTTTCTCCCTTTATAGTGTTGAACAGAGTGCTGTAAATGTATTAAACATAATCATGATACTGGTGACCCTTGTAATAACATTAACAGTAAATCTGACTGCAATTTAAAACCAGTGCCTTGAGAGAGAAAAGGCCATCTAGATTTCTAGTTGGTCCTAAAATTATCTATTTGTAAAAATGAAAACCAGTAAAATAGAAAGTTATAAAATATTGTTTTTTAAGGAGTTTCGAATTTTTGTGTAGAATTTCCTCAATGCATCCTCATCTGTCATAGTGGAATTTAATCTTTTTTTTTTTTTTTTTCAGAAAGGGTTTCACTCTGTCACCGAAGCTGGAGTACAGTGGCGAGATTACAGCTCGCTGCAGTCTTCACCTCCCAGGTTCAAGTGATCTTCACACAGCCTCCCAGGTAGCTGGGATCACAGGTAAGTGCCCACTCTCGGCTAAATTTTTGTAGACATGGGGTTTTGCCACATTGTCCAGGCTGGTCTTGAACTCCTGAGATCAAACAATCCTCCTGCCTCAGCCTGCTGAGTAGCTGGGACAACCTGCATGTACCACTACCCCTGGCTAATTTTTTTTTGTAGATACAGGGTCTTGCCATGTTGCCCACGCTGGTCTCGAATTCCTGGACTAAAGCAATCTGGCCATCTCGGCCTCCCAACTTGTGTGAGCCACTGCACCTCCTGGAATTTAATCTTTATATCTGTCGTTAAGTGGTCCAGAAATTTTGGTTGTAATAATGATTGCTATTTTTTTACTTGTTGTGTATATTATTTGTCTTTTATGTATGCCTTCTGACTCTTGAAAACTAAATATGGAAAATATGTCAGCTTTTCTTAAATATCACTAGATATTTAAATAAAATTGAATCCCCATTTTATAGTTTAGCCATGCAGTTTAACAAAACATGCTAGATTTTTCTCTGGGAAGAAAAAAGTAGAAAAATCAACCAAAATATGGTTGACAGAGGTTTGTTACATAATAAAAATGTCGTGACACTAATTAGAGCAATATAATGTCTTAATATGATCTGGAATTTCACAATGTAGCATATAATAGAAATACAGATAAAATGGATGGTCAACGTATTAATATGAACATAATAAAAAGACAATATATTAGGGAAGAATATCCAAAGCATAAAATAAAAGAAAAAATAGAAATATAACTGTATCACATTATATCCACTTAATAGTATAATAGTAAGAATTATGGTTATATAAAATTAATAAAATGGAAAATGCTGGTGTAAAACATAAATACAAAGATTTATATGGCTTATATGATTTTTATCTATATAAAAATACACATTAAAACTTAAATGAAATGAACAATTGTTTAATCATCTTTGCCATTTTTTTCAAATTTTTCAAACTTTTACATTATTTAGTACATTTTCCATAATTAATTTTCCTTTTCTTTCTTTCTTTTTTGTTTGTTTGTTTTTGTTTCTGTTAGGTGAGGTCTGTCTCTGTCACCCAATACAGTGGCGTGATCTCAGCTCACTACAACTTCTGTCTCCTGGGCCCAAGTGATCCTCCTGCCTCAGACTCCCAAGTAACTGGGACTACAGGTGAACACCACCACACCTGGCTAAATTTTTATTCTTAGTAGAGATGGGGCCTTGCCACTTTGCCCAGACTGGTCCTGAACTCTTGGGGTCAAGCAATACTCCCACCTTGGCCACTTGTGATCTTCTGGGGTTACAAGAGTGAGCCACCACACCTGGCCAACATGTATTTCTTGATAATGTAAAAATTAGTAAAGAATTGACTTTTACAGTGGTCTTTAATTTGTATTAGCATATAAATTAAAGTTTTAGAATTTTTTTCTCCTTGTTTCCTATTATTAATTCTCATTAATTTAGTTATCTCATTTTTTTCTGGATATTTTTATCACTGTTATTATTTGTTGTTGTCTTGAGCGTACTGTTCCAAAACCAGAACTATAGTCTAGCTTCTTTAATTATCTAGACTTTAGAAAGCAAAGGCATACAAAATTAGTTAAAAAATAACATTTACTGAGTTTTCATTGAAATTTATATTCTGAGTGTTTCAGTAACTTTATACTGAGTGTTTCAATAATACATTTTCCACAATGACAGACTCTATGTCATAATTAAAACCAAAGAACTCAGACATATTATTATCTACCATAATCACAGTTGCCCTCATAATGCTGACCTTTTAAATCTTAGTCTAACCCCTGATTTCTAAAGTTTGAATTTAATTTATGTAATGTAAATAAAATCAATGGCTACATAATTAAAGATATCAAAACAATTTATTAAGGTTATAATTTCTTTAGGTTTGTTAATTTGCAAAGCTTGCTTTGATAACATATTCATGCTGTGAAGTGATAATGCCAATAATCAGTAACTATCTACTAAAAGAGTCACTAATTTACATTGTCATTTAAGTAACATATATATTTAAAAGGCAAACATAATCTTCCACAGTTTGATTGAGCAATAAAGATTTTATTATATTATTAAAAAGCAATGTTTTCCAAAAATAAATAATTGATAGATAACATATTTAGAATAAAGAAATTATTTATATTTATTGATTTTAAGTACTGATTGCTAGGTTCACAGATATGAATTATGATTATTCCAATCATTCAACACAACTTAAAAACCATTTTGCCAAAAATGTTTATTTCAAGTATATTTTAATTTTCTAATTGTTGAATTTTCCAACTGGAAGTAAAAAAATATTGCCATGATCTCACATTTTGTTTTGCTGCTACAATATTTTACAGCTAAATGGTATCTTACTGCACTCTGGATTATTATTTTCAGTTTTCCACCAAAGTAGCACTTTCACTTCTTGTAATATTTGCTGTTACATGGAAAATAAAAAGGATCATTATATCTTATTTATTAATACCAAAATATCATTTTTGATTTAGAAAAAATGACCTTCACACACAACTTTGACCACCACAAATACATATACTATGATTTTTACTTGGAGTATAATCAAAACTTGAAACAGGAGTGAGCAAGTGGGAATATCTGAATCCTTAAAAACAGATTTGCCCTGATTTTATTTAGAGATTTTATTTAGAGAATTGTTTATATATAAACTAAACTGAAAAAATGACCACCGTAATTGTTATAAATAGCCCCAAATATCATTAATTACATCTAGTGTAATGCATAACATGTAATGACTTTAACATATAACAACATATTAATATATGTAATTAAAACACAGCATAAATAACATCTCGCATTCTTTTGTCTTAAACATGCATTTCTATTTTGCTTTTTGGTTGGCCTTTTGAATCACAGACCACCATTGAAATCCATTTCTTGTTGAATGTCTTATGAATATAAATTCCAATTTAAATATAATTATTATGTCATTTATTATTTGGTTTTAACACATGAAGCAAAAAAATTTGTTTAAAGTTTTCAAAAAGTACTAATGCCAAACATGCGTCCTTTCTTTGCATAATTTGCCTTTTATATTTTTGAAGACAAAGATAAAAATTTTGATCATGCTTTTATATTTTTATTTAGGAATTAATTGTTCAAACACCAAATTTTTAATTATAAATTTCCAAAATGAAAACATGGGACAATTACCAAAAAATGAACAGGAAGATGAAATCACAGTTTTATAACTTATTAGCCACAGAAGAATATTTCTGAAAATCTGTCAGATATCCATCCTATCCCTATATTTATTTAATAATAATTACATAGATTATGGTTAATAAATCAGCTTTTTAAAAAGTGTAAAACTGTGAATGTTAAAGTCCTATTCAATTACCAAGAAACATTACTCAACTTGAGATTTATTAGTTGAATAACTAAATGATTTTTTTGCAGTATCTTGAGAACTGCAAATCATATTGAAATATCCTTAACAATTAAATACTTTTTGACTTTTTGATTTGAAGTAGATAAAATGTAAGAAATATATTGAATGTAAAATGTTTTTCAAGGCTAAGTTAGGGCATAACATAAATTATCTGTGCATATATTGAATAACCTCCAAAATTGATTTCACATTACTACTAGCTGAATTGAAGAGGTTTCCATTGCTTATGGAAACACTGAGTACTCTAATAGAGTCTTCATCTCATTCCATTCAGAATGATGAATATGACTAAAAACATTAACAAAAGAATAAATTAAACAAAGTCACAAAATTTGTGACATGTTAAATGGTTGGGTCATTTATATATTGAACAAAGTTATAGGCCTTTCCAAATATGGGCACATGGAATAATGGAATATATATATATATATATAATGTATATATTTAGTTTATCATTTAATGATTTCTCATAAACCTCTCAGAATCTAGAACATAATGGATGCCATTATTGTCACTTTGAATTACATATTTATCTTCCAATTCGCTGTCACTCTACCCTATGTTCGGTAATTTTAAAAAATTATTGATAAATATACCAAACAGTATCAAAATATTTCAACAATATTTATTCCATAGTTGTCAGTATATATTCTAGTTTGACTAATGCCTCAAATTCACAACAGTAGAAAAAACTATAAAATATTTTTAATGTGAATGTATCTTCAAGACTTTTAAAATTTATTTTATTTTTCAAGTGCTTTTTTGGCACCATACTATTTTTTATTGATACATAATATTTATACATATTTATGGGGCACATGTGATATTTTATTATATGCATAGTATGTGTAATGATCAAGTCAGACTATCTGGGGTATCAATTACCTTGAGTATCATTTGTATGCGTTGGGAGCATCTCAAGTCCTATTAGCTTTTTTGAAATATACAAACCATTGATATTAATTATAGTCACCCTACTCTGCAAATATGAAAACTTATTCCTTCTTCTAACTGTATATTTGTACCCATTAATCAACCTCTTTTTATCCCCCGCTTCCAAATATACTTTCCATTATCTGGTGTCCATCATTCTACTCTATCTTCACGAGATCAACTTTTTAAACTCCCAAATACGAGTAAGAAGATGTAATATTTGTCTTTCTGAGCCTGACTTTTTTCACTTAACACAATGGTCTCCAGTTTCATTCATCCCTGCTCCAGCTGCAAAAACATGATTTTATTCTTTTTAATGATTAAATAATTTTCCAGTGTGTATATATACTATATTTTATTTATCCATTCTTCCATTAATGGACTTTTAGGTTGATTCCATATCTTTGCTATCATGAATAGTGCTGCAATACATTTGTGATTGCAGGTATCCCTTTTATATACTGACTTATTTTTCTTTAAATAAATACCTGGTAGCAAGATGACTGAATTGTGTGGCTCTAGTTTTAGGGATTTTTTGTGTTTTTTTTTTTCTTTTATAAAATTATACTGTAACTTCTGGGATACATATACAGAACGTGCAGTTTTGTTACATAGGTATACACCTGCCATGGTGGTTTGCTGCACCCATCAACCCCCGTCACCTACATTAGGTATTTCTCCTAATGCTATCCCTCCCCTAGTCCCTCGCCCCTTATCAGGCCCCGAAGGGTGATGTTTCCCTCCGTGTCCATGTGTTCTCATTGTTCAACTCCCACTTATGGGTGAGAACATGCAGTGTTTGGTTTTCTGTTCTTGTGTTACTTTGCTGAGAATGACGGTTTCCAGCTTTATCCATGTCCCTGCCAAGGACATGAACTCATCGTTTTTATGGCTGCATAGTATTCCATGGTGTATATGTGCCACATTTTCTTTATCCAGTCTATCACTGATGGACATTTGGGTCGGTTCCAAGTCTTTACTACTGTGAATAGTGCCACAATAAACATACGTGTGCATGTGTCTTTATAGTAGAATGATTTATAATCCTTTGGGTATATACCCAGTAATGGGATTGCTGGTTCAAATGGTATTTCTAGTTCTAGATCCTTGAGGAATTGCCACAGTCCTCTAGTTCTAGATCCTTGAGGGATTGTCTTCCACAATGGTTGAACTAATTCACACTCCCACCAACAGTGTAAAAGCATTTCTATTTCTCCACATCCTCTCCAGCATCTGTTGTTTCCTGACTTTTTAATGATCGGCATTCTAACTGGTATGAGATGGTATCTCATTGTGGTTTTGATTTGCATTTCTCTAATGACCAGTGATGATGAACTTTTTTTCATATATTTGTTGGCTGCATAAATGTCTTCTCTTGAGAAGTATCTGTTCATATCCTTCGTCCACTTTTTGATGGAGTTTTTTTTTTTCTTGTAAATTTGTTTAAGTTCTTTATAGATTCTGGATATTAGCCCTTTGTCAGATGGATAGATTGCAAAAATTTTCTCCCATTCTGTAGGGTTGCCTGTTCAATCTGCTGGTAGTTTCTTTTGCTGTGCAGAAGCACTTTAGTCTAATTAGATCACATTTGTCAATTTTGGCTTTTGCTGCCATTGCTTTTGGTGTGTTAGACATTAAGCCTTTGCCCATGCCTATGTCCTGAATGGTATTGCCTAGGTTTTCTTCTAGGATTTTTATGGTTTTAGGTCTTATGTTTAAGTCTTTAATTTATCTTGAGTTAATTTTTGTCCTCGTATGGTTTTCCATATTAGCTGTACTAATTTACATTCCAAGTAACAGTGTGTGTTTCCTTTTCTCTACATCCTTACCAATATCTGTTATTCTTTACCATTTTAATAATAGCCATTCTAACTGGGTAAGATGTCTCACTGTGGTTTGATTTACATTTCTCTGATGTTAAACATGTTTTCATATACATGTTTGCTATTTGTATGTCTTCTTTTGAGAAATATATATTCAAATTTTTTGCCCACATTTTAATAGGATTACTCGTGGGGGTTATTTTTACTGTTTAGTTGTTTGAGTTCCTATTATTAGAATATATTAGAATATAACTATTATTATTATATATACTATAATTATATATATAAAATATATTATAGTATATATTATAATATATAATATATTACAATATATATTATAATATATAATATATTACAATATATATTATAATATATAATATATTACAATATATATTATTATAATATATAATATATATTACAATATATATTATTATAATATATACTACAATATATATTATTATAATATATACTATATAATAATTATATAGTATATATTATAATAATATATAATTATTATTATATATTAGAATATAACTAATATTCTAGATATTAGTTGGATAAATAATTTGCAAATATCTTCTCCCATTCAGTAGGTTGTGGCTTCACTTTGTTGATTATTTCCTTTGTTATGCAGATGGTTTTTACTCTAATACAGTCCCATTTGTCTATTTGTCTTTTTGTGGTCTATGCTTTTGTTGTCTTAGCCATAAAACCTTTGCCTAGAACAATGTCCTAAAATATTCTTCTTATGTTTTCTTTCAGTATTTTTTACAGATTCAGGTCTTACACGTAACTGCTTAATCCATCTTGAGTTGATTTTTACATATGGTGAGAGATAGGGGTCCAGTTTCGTTTATCTGCATATGAATATTCAATTTTCCCAGAACCATTTATTAAAGAGGGTGGCCTTTCCTTTCTGCAATGTATGTTCTTGGAATCTCTGAAAAATATGTACATTGGCTGTAACTGTGGATTTATTTCTGGGTCCTCTATTGTATTTCATGATCTCTGAATGATTGCGATATATATATATATATATATATACTGTCTACTGTCTTCTAAAGGATGAGTAAGTTCGTGGAATATCCTAATATGACATGAACTCCTTTATGTAGTTTTCCTAGAGAAGTTTAGGTTTAATTTTTCAGAATCAATATGTAAATATTAAATCAATCATATAAACAAAATTTTATAAAACACCTACTTTGTGACAGGCATAGGACAGCTGTCACACACATGTTGAAACCAAACAGAAATAGTTATGTAGAGATAGGCTATTTGAAAGAAAATATACAGATAAATGATTCCTCATAAATGTTGTCAATCCTACAAAGCAAAGAAGCAGAGTAATAATAATGATACCATGAATGATGACTTTCTTTTCCATGTATAAATAAGAGATTAACATGATATTTTTTTAAAATAATTTTTTATACTTTTAGATAATTTATTGCATAGGGTAAGAAAAGTGGAAGCAGAAAATCAGGAGAAAGAAAGATAATATTACTGACAGAAAAATCCATCATTAATAAGAAGGTAGAGAAGGAGGTGCCTTTACATATGGATATTAAATCATTCTAAAATCTTGCCTAAAACCACATTTCCACCATATACATTCTATCACGCTCTGTGCTCCAGCTGATCACACTCTGCTTCAACCGTACTATATATATTGGTTATCTATTACCGTGTAACAATTTACCTAACAATTAGAGACTTTATACATAATATTTATTATCTCACATATTCTATGAGTCAGAAATCTGAATGTGGCTTAGCTGGGTAACTCTGCCTTAGCTTCTCTCATGAGGTTGAAACTAAGGTGTCTGAGGCCTGGTCTCAAATGAAGCTTTGACTGAGGGAGGATTCATGCCAAGATTACATGAAATTGTTGGAATGCTTGAATTCCTTGCTGACTATTGGCTGGAGGCCTACTTTATTTTCTTATTTTGTTTTATTGTTTGTTTGTTTCTCCTTGATATAGGGCATCTCACAATATGGTGGCTGGCTTCCCTCAGAATAAGAGTTAATGAGAGCAAGTGAGAAGGAAACCAGAGATCTTTCATAACCTAATGTCAGAAGAGACATCCCATCACTTTTACTGTGTTCAGATTTTAAAAGCGAATCACTAGGTTCAGCTCATACTCGAGGGTGAGGATTCCTCAGGGGTAATATTGGGGACATATTTAGAAGCTGCCCACCACACCATGATTGACTTTATTTTTAAACCAATTTACTAAGGTGTGATAGACAGGTTAAAGCTGTGTGTATTTAATGTATACAACTAGATGAGTTTGAGGATAAATATCCATCTGTGAAACCATCTCCTCCATCAAGGTCATACACGTGTCCATTATCTTCCATAGTTTACTCCCATCCCTTTATTATTAATGTCAAAGTCACAGAAGCAGAGAGTAGAATGGTGGATAACAGGAGTTGGGGTGGCGGGAATGGGGAGATAGTGTCAAAGGGTATGAACTTTCAGTTATGCAAGATAAGAAGTTCTGGAGATCCACTATGCAGCAGAGTGCCTAAGGTTATCAATACTGTATTGTATACTTAAAATGTACTAAAAAGGTAGATCTTATGTTTAGCGCCCTTACCTCTTTTTAATTTACAATTCACTTTTATAGTGAAAACTATTCCTGGTTTGACCGTGACTGCCCAATTTTTAGCACTAAAATACTGAATCCTGAGAAACCCTTTGGTCCCAGCCCATTGGGAATGGTTGATTAGCCTACTTACAATGTCAAAGCTCTGAATTCTATATAGAGGCTTCTTCCTAGATTGTCTTAATAGCCTTCTTTTACTACTAGCACATACTACTCAAACTATAAGACCCCTTTTGATATTTTCTTTTTCAAGAATCCTCCCTGTCTTCCCTTAAAGATTAATGGTCCTTCACAATTCTAGAACATTCTTGTAGTAATGCTATGCAAGTACTCTTTCATTCTGCTTTTATAAAGAGTTGTGTCTTTTTTTCCCTACAGACTAGAATTCTGAGAGAGCCATGACAGTTGATTCACTTTTGGTTTTATGGTACCTAGCTCAGTGATTAGTAATTTTTCAAAAAGAATATGCATTTTATGGAAAAGGAGACATGATATCAGAAAGCTAAAGAAAAATGTTCAAATTCATTCAGCCAGTAAATGGAGAAAAAAGATCTGCAGTGGCACTGATATCTACCAGAGATATTAATGATGAGTTATGCACAGATTTATATTTTAAAATTTCCTGTTCCAAACAATGACCTGTCCAAAACTGTATAGTAAACCATTTAAAAAGCCTGCATATTTTTAGACACCAAGAAACATAATAATTAAAAAATAACACTTTTGCAGAAAATAGGGATATTTCACATTTAGTGTTGATGTCAGACCCTGCATATGGAAAAGTCACATTATTAG
The DNA here is from genome assembly GCF_000001405.40 of Homo sapiens. Lineage (NCBI taxonomy): Eukaryota > Metazoa > Chordata > Mammalia > Primates > Hominidae > Homo > Homo sapiens. Next base: position 88,615,983 of record NC_000013.11, read on the forward strand.
AATGACATTAATCAAACATCCGGAGCTTTCTGCATAAGCACTGGTGGTTTACAAATATAGGTGCATTAGGATTAGGTAAAATTACTTTCAAAACTGTATTATCCAACCCAATGAGCAGGCGCCAGCTGGAGTTTAACATTTTTTTCCAGATTGTCCTATATTATTTGGATTTTGAGCAATTGTTCACATACATAATACTGGGGCTGGAGTAGAGAGTGTAACTTTAATGCAAGAACGAACAATGATTCTTCCAGGTTTATGAGTAGATAACAGAGGTTAAAGAATGCTAAAGCATAGTGGTAGAAGGAAGGAGACAATTTATCAGAATAAACAAGTTTTAGGAGTAGCAAAATGAGATTGCTACCCTCCCTCAGTGCAACTTAATAATTCAGCAGTGTATTAAGAAAGATGATGGATTTGAAGGCAATTTTGTATATTGATAAATAGCAAGGATGTGATATTCAAGGCTATGACTGTAATCTTCCAAATTATGAACAGGGACATCAACAGTGTACTGACTGGGAAAAACTTAGATTAAGTAATTCTTCAATAAACCAATTGAATCAGTGCCCAGGCTCTAGATCCAAATACCTCAGGTTGCTTCTTAGGTGTTCTCTTTATTTCTTCAGCCAAAAAGTATTTGGATATTCTATTCTAGTAACTGAGTGCATTCTAACTGCATAAAATCATTCTATGTTAAAATCATTATAGATTTAATTAGCAACAACCTTTGAATGAAATTGAAAATGAATTTACCTTTATAACCATATTCTTGAAGATCAATCAACTTTAAACAGGACTACATGCAGGCTTACTGATAATTTGGCATTTAAAGTATAAACAAGTATAATATTTAAATGGCAAAAACAAACTAAGATGGATTAATCCTAAGAAGAGAAATCCTCTTTTTATTCTGAGTAAGACTATATTGGATACACACACATGCACACACACACACACACACACACACACACACACACACATATTTTCTTAGTTATAGGTTTTTAGTAATATTTAATGCATTAAAAGTATAATACAAATATTTAGTCAATAGCAGAGGCTTATTGGCCTGTGATATTAGGTGATGTATAATGGCCAGAAATCATTTACATTAGTGTTTTCAGGTGATAATGGAGTAAAATTAGAGTAATTTTTGCTCTGTCATCTTATCAACAGTATGAATGACACTTATCAAACTATATTTACTTAGGTATATATTTTCCTAAATAGTCTCGCTTTATCTTTAATGAGAACAACAGAATAAGAAACCAAGACAGAACATTCAGTCACTATTTTTCACTGTGGTTAATCGTTGAAACCATTAATGAGACCCCTTGTGCTTTTCTGGCTATCTCTAGCTTGAACTTGATCAGCAAACTTTGTCTGCATTAGTAGCCATGGCAACTTCAGGATAAATATTGAGTACTGGCCTTCCAACTGTTAAAAACCTTTAAGTCTCATTTAAGTCTGTAGTATGTTACCACAGAGACACTAGCACGCAAAAAATGGAAATTTCACACATAGTTCCAAGAAAAAAAGGTAAAATTTGATGAACAATCTAGTTTATTATAAAATTAAATAGAAGATAAAGTGCAAAGATTAAAAATTTTTTTTTTCTTCCAAGGTGGTAGTACACATGACAAATTTCAAAATTTCATAACAATTATATAAAGCTTTTATGTAAACAGATGATTAACACAGTTGCATACTTAGCTGCTTGAGGGAATATCAAAGAAAAGTAGAAAAATAGGGTAGTACAAGACGAATTCGATCTGAATAACTTTATTGCCTTATTAGATGCCTATGTACGATACACAGTTTTATGGAGTACCCTCTTAATTGAAGCTAAAGGACATAATTAAAAATCATTTAAAAATATATACTTGCTGCCAGAATTGTATTCATAGCCACTTGTCAGGCTGTGTTGGTATCCGTAGACTACCCTGTGTTGACTCAGAGCTCTATGTCTATGACATTTACATATTGATGACACTTCAGATGGGCAAGCTGCTATGCTCATCTCACGTATGCTGATAGAGCCTTTTGATTTTGGCACAAACATGGATCCTTAAAGATTGTTAGAATAAATAAAAGCCTTGTGGCAATTGTATTTTCTAAAGATTAGCTACAGTATCTCCCACCTCACTAGCTCTTCTAAGGATTTAATTTTGACATTCCTTCCAAGTGTCCTCTCCCTTGAACCACACGAAGTATCATAACTGCCTCAAACACAAGAGTATGCTAGAAGTATCACTATGTATCTTCTGAGGCTAGGTGTTCAAAACAGCACATACTTTTCTTACTCTCTTCAGACACTTGCTTTTAGAATCCACCTGAAGCCACCTTGTGAGGAAGTCCAAACTAACCTACATGAAGAAATCACATGGAGAGGCCACATTTCAGCTGATGGACTGTAGAGGTTCCACTGACTGCCATCATCAGTTGCCGGATAGAAGAAATAAGATGTTTCCAGATGATTCCAGCTCATATAAGTTAAGTCCTATATCACTTAATATCTTCCTGCTGAGGCCTAAGACATGAATGAGTTGAGCAAGTCATTATTGCTTCATTCTTGAAATCCTAGGCCTCAGGATTTCTGAGTACAATAAAATAACTCTTTTATACCTCAAAATTAGTATGGATTATTATACAACAATAGTACCTAGAACAGACACCAACTACTTGTCCCCTTATTTGTACCAGCTAAGTCTCTTCAGGCAGCAAATTCCTAATCATGTTTTCTAAATTTTTTTAAAAAACGTTTTCATGATATCAAGCCCGCCTTTATTCAAGGGAAGTTCTTTAAACACATACGTCATTTTTCACTCAAAAATAAATGTCTGTTGAATTATCAACAACAAAAAGCACCTAAGTAACATAGAAATTGTCAATAGATGCATAAGTATGATTTGTTCCTGTCAAAAGCTGAAGAGAATTTATCACTTAGAAATATAGAATAGAGCAACTGATTTTAACACAGTCAATAGTCAATTCCTTTCTGCCACATAAAATATTAAGAAAAATTTTCCTTTGCAATAGTCAAACAATGATTCAGAAGATGTCAGTAATCTATCTCCTGGGAATTTGAAATTGAAAACCAGGTTGTCTACTTGACTTTCTTGTGTGTTGCAAATCAGAGGTAATGTGATACTGGAAAATATGTGGCAAAGTGGAGAGACAGTGAAGAGAAAGGGAGAAAAATGTAGAAGTTGCACAGAGATAAGTTGAAGATAAAATGGGAGACTGAAGCTTAATGTCATGACCTCAAAGATTTAGACAGAAATAAAGAAACTATGGTGGCATTTTTATGCTAGTGAATTTTCTGTTTTCTGTTCTAGTTTCCTTGGAGATGCAATAGCATATTTTGATATCCCTATATCCCTGTGAAACCCTGGTTGCCACCTGAGGTTACTTAAAGACAATATATCAGTTAGAATGCCTTTAATGAAGGTTATAATTTAAACAAATAGGAAATGTATAAGCTTATATCAAAATAAACCTAGTGATAAAGTCGTCCAGCATATTAGCAGTGTTGTAAATAAACCAGAATCTCCATCTTCTGAAATGCCAATCAGAGTTTAAAATTTATCCTAATGCAGGTTTCTCCTGTGGTTGTAGGTGGCTACCAAGTGCATTCCAAGTCTGCATAACTCTTCATTTGGTACAACAGCACTGTCTCTTTCCCTTCTTCTTTTCCAACACGCTTTCCTTTCATTTGACTCTTCAGAGTTCAATTCTTCATTTCCCCATTATTTATGAATTTAAGCATTTGCTTGCTAAGGAGACCAGTGTAAGAAAGGGCCCTTTTTCTCCCCTTTGGCTCATTCTTTGCAACAAAGAATCACTGGCAGTGACTAGGTTTTATCATTCCTTTCTCGAACAAGTTTTTACACATGGAGGGGAGCAATATTCAGACTTCTTGATATGAGTAATTTGAATTATATATTAATTTTAGAAGGCAAAGATACAATTTCCATTTTAAATACCATTTTTATTTCACAGTTTCACTTTATTTTGTCTTTTAACTAAGATGTTTTAGTTCAACATCTATAGTTTATCAGGAGAAAACAAACACATAATAAAAGTATTTATAAGGAATATTCTATAGAAATCATTTTTAATAAAAAGTCCTATATCTAAAGCACACTTTATTTTTAACTGAATAGGTGATTCATTTATGTTAAATGTAAATAATTGATTTATTCAGAACATACATACAAAACAAGGAGACAATGGGAAGTCACTCCAAATAACATTACTAAAAATTAAACACTATAAACACGCGTTTCCCAGATTTTGCTTAAATTTCTATTTAAAATTACCCACACACAAGTTATAACATAGTCAATATATAGTTTTGAGTTATGATGCATTCTTTTAGCATTATAGAAAGAAAATATCCTCATGCCATTTAATATTTTTGAAAATAATATTAGAACATCTGTAAATTATTGGAAGAATAAATGTAATAATAATTTCTATGTTTTTACTATGTGTTAGAATTTTAAAATTAAAGTACTACTTTGATGTTGTGGTTAACTTCTTAGCATAAGTTAAAACACAATTTTTACTAATGTTACCTCTTGTGAAATAGTATATGATAGTGAAATAGTGAAATAGTATATGATTTTTAAAGTTTTCTCACACAAATGAACATAGCTATTTTAAAAATATAGTTTAAAAGTTTTTCTGAGTCATTGCTAATATGTCTGAAAAATATTTCATACTAATTTTTATATATTTATCATTTTATTTCATCAGTTTATAGAATGTTTTAATAAATATTCTGTGACATCAATACTAAGCTGAAAATTGCATATTGCCTTCTAGGCTACAAAATGCAAGTAATTTTTAGCACTTATAATATTTCTTCATTTTTCAACTGTAGTATGAGTGCGTCATTTTACAATATAAGCACAAAGTTTTGTTTTGTTTACAAGCAGGGATTGTTTATGTAAAACCGGTAATCATAAGATCTACTCTTCACAATTAAAAATAATAGCCATGATAATCAAGCAGCATGTTTTAAAATGAAAGGTTAATCCAATGGAAATCTACTTCGATGTAATAAATTAAATCCTGACAATTACAGAGGTATCCTTTAATGTACATAATTCAAAGAGAGAAATCAATCTGAATTTTCTGTACATCATAATTTACCATTTTACTTAAAGTCTAAAGTGACTAAAAGTCACTTTAAAAATAACTTCTTATGTAAATAATATTTTTAGAATAAAATGTTAAATGCAATTAATAGTAGTTAATGCACTGATTTCCTCTGACATATTTGATATACATTTCTCAAAAGAAGATATTTACATCAATTTGAATGTCACAATGTGATTTTTAAAAGAACATTTGTCTCATGTGCACTTATTTCTTTAATAGCGATTTTAGCTCACCCTTACCAGAAAGCTAGCTCCAAGTCACTTAATATCTCTTTTCTTCTCCCAAAATAATAAAATATATTCTTTTCTTGAGTATTTTCCCACAGAAAAAAATAAAAAAATAAACAAACTCATAATCCTGAAATATCAAGTAACTGATTTACTGATCTTAGTTGAGTCAGCACAAAATTCTTCATAATAAAACATCAGAGGAGTTTATAAGGTATGCTTCTACTTTCATAGGTTTCATATATGTGGGGTAAAATTCCTCGCTAGAGGAACGTGGAACCAAATATTGTACCCATAAAGAGAATTTTTTATTCCTGCCTATCTAAAAGTATTGATTAGAAACTTGAGTTACAGCACAAGCTGGGTCTTTTGAAGTTCTTGTTTTAGGATATATTCTGGAAAAAAAAGTAGATCCATGTGTGTTACTAAAAATATTGTATTTGGTTCTTCTTAACATGTACTTCCCCTCTCTTCTCATTTGTCAGGGGCCGGCCTCAACTAAGACTGTCTTAATCACATTTCAGCCATGCTATAGAAACTTTAACTGAAACCTTACCTTTTCTTGAAACTCTTATTATAAGTGTCTTTAGGCAAATTCTAAAATTTTCTCACATGTAAAATATCTGCTTAGTTATAGAAATATAGTCTATAATTCGTTAATCATTACTAATTTAGAAAGTTCCCATCTGAAGTAAATAAATCTATGAATAAAGCAAAATGAGTCTTATTGATTTCTATGGCAAGGGAGAATATTTCACAGATGATTCCAAAACAAAATATTGTTGGGAAAAGTAAATGCAAGGATTTAATTGTGTATGGATTAGACCTGGATATTCTTACGGTGGAATATCACAGCCAAGTTGAGTCTTCTTTCTGTTTGTTGATTATTTAAAAGAGGAGAGATTCTGGATGAAGAAGAAAGTATTGAGAGAGGACGCAGTTAGGGGCTGGTTAGGCAGATAGAGAGAGAGGGTCTCGGGAGAAGGACAGAGAAGGGCAGTGTTCACAGGAACAACCACAAGATAGCACCTACACCCCCTCTGCAGCTAACAGGAAGAAATGTGGCTAAGAACTTCTTGTGCCAGGATGTTGCTCAGAAGGAACTGTCACAACTTAGGTACAGGCTCAGTAAATCAACCTAAATGTCCTTAAGGTGACCCAGCTGGTTATAATGTCATTAACATGATATTAGCATTGTGGTTTTATCCCCCGACCCATAGGTTTCACTTAGGCACTCATAGGTAATAACCAAGGTGGAGTCACTCTGGCCAAGCCCAGGCATGTGCAGATGCAACACCCCTAGGAGGAAAGTTTACTCCTCCCATTTGGGCAAAACCCACAGAAGGCTTCCTGGCTTCTGCCACATAAAAGACCCAGAACTCCACCCCATTTCTGGAAACTTGCTGTCAGGCCCTCTCTCTTTGCTGAGAGCTTTCCTTTTGCTAATAAATCCTACTCTACTCACTCTCCAGTATCCACGTACCTCATTCTTCTTGGTCATAGGACAAGAACTTGGTCCTAGCTGAACTAAGGGCTAAGCTGATTGCAACAGTATTATGTGAATCACAAGGCATTCTTCAGTCATTTTTGTATAATGATGAGTATAATTGTTCTGGTCCTTGGGAGCTATCTTAGGAGATAGCTGAAAAAAAAAATTTTTGATTTTTGTAATAACTTACCTTAAATCACTCAATCTCTTTTTTAGTTAAATTAATAATTCTTTTAAATTATCTCTGAAGCTACTAGCTGTTTATAGTAAATCCAGTTTCTCCCAGTCTTTTGCTACACAGAAACTGGAAAAGTATAAGGGAAAGGAGCCATAATCCTTTTTTTAATGTAAAAAAAGAAAAAAATAGCAGAAAACAGAGACCTTAGAGACTGTGGGAAGTGTAGGAGTTCTTGTAGACAAGACTGAGGATGCAAACACACCAGCAATAAGGCTGGGGGAAACTGAATTGCCCAAGAAGAAGGAAGGGAGGGAGTAGGGAAAGTCCGAGACCACTAACAATGAATAGCTCATATCGCTGTCACACACTCCTCTGGCAGCTTATTTTTGGTCTTTTCACAAAGAGGTTTCCAAACCCTTTATAATAACAACCCTCACCTCCATTGCACTCTTGATTACTTGGGTATAAACAATATTTCCTTCATGCCTTCTGATGTCCTCAGGCTCTGCTGGTTGTATCGAACACTTTGTCTAAATCACAGAGCTGAAGAATAAACGGCAAGATGGATAGAGGGTGGAAAATCTTATACAGAAGAAATGTTGTGTGCTGCTCTCATGAATGGAGTGATAGTTACATCTTTTGCTGAATCTTACCAGTAGCTTTATTGGCATACATTGTTTTTACTCCCCACATAATTGAACAGCCAAGTTCTAACTGACTGACCTTCACTTGAGCATGAACTATATTACAACTTCTACTTTTATCAACAAGTTATAGGTAACTAAATTTAGAGAAAAGTAATTTTTAACCACAGAAATAATCAGTGGTTATTTGATAATTTGCCTCCCATGAAATCAGTTGTTAGTGTAAAATTTAATTTTTTTTTGTATAAACATACAAAATATTGAAATTTCATTACATTCTCTTAAAAAAGTTGAGACATATAACTTTTTATGTTTATTTTATGCCTATTCAGTGTCTAATACATGCCAGTGTGAGAGAAATATTGGTCTCTGTCCTTGTGGAGCTCATATTCTAACAGGTGCTCACAAATGGGTAGTTTACACTGCTATATTAAAAATAGAACTCAATTTTTAAAAATAGGATAATTAAATAATTCAATCTAGCCCATCAATATTGCAGTTATGGGCTGGGCGTGGCCTCCTGCCTATAATCCCACCTCTTTAAGAGGCTGAAGTGGGAGGATTGCTTCAGCCCAGGGAGTCAAAGTTGCAGTGAGCTGTGATCATGCTACTGTACTCCAGCCTGGGCAACAGAGAGAAAACCTGTATTAAAAAAAGAATTGCAGTTATGCAGCTTGGGTATATAGGGATAATTTAAATAATATTGTAGGGTACACACAGTTTAAGTGCCCAGGTTGCTTAAGTCAGAGTTCAGACCTACTGATGTTACACTGTCAATCAGTGTATGATTATGCATCCTATTTGTGTATAATGGAGGTGTTTCATGTATGGTAACTAAGAAAAAATTTAACAATTTCGAAGAGAGGGAAAATTGAGCATAACCTGCTGACCCCAACCTGCAAGGTTTTATTTGGAGAAAAGGGTATTTTCAGGTATGATTAAGCTAATATTTTAAGATTATTAATATTTAAAGATAATTCACCTTTAAGATAGGTGAATTATCTGGGTTAGCAGAGTGGATCCAAATGCAATCATATGTGTCTTTATAAAGACACAGATGGAGACTTTTCTCACACAGAGAAAGGGGTGATATGAAAACAGAGGTTAGAGTGATGAGGCCACAAGCCAAGGAATGAAGGCAGCCACTAACAGCTCAAAAAGGCAAGGTGTAGATTCTCTCTCAGAGCTTCCAGAAGCAGCACAGTCCTCACAACACCTTGATTCAGCCAAGTGATACTAATTTCAGGTATCTGGCCTTTAGAACTGTGAAAGAATAAGTTTATGTTATTTTAACCACAAAATTTGTGATAGTTGTGACAGTAGCCACAAGAAACTAGTATGGGGTTAAAGCAAAATAGTAGCTTGAATTGTGTTTTGTGAAAAATAGTTGTTCAATAGCTGATTGATTTTCTGAGAAAATAAATGGAGAACTGGTTTTAAAAACTTTTGAAAAATTCTACACGTACATGTATACCTACATGATAAATCACAATATTATTAAAATACTGAAGTCTCTGAAAATTCCTGCAATTAAGAAACCTAGTTTAGTACGTTAACTCTATTACTAAAATTGTTCAATCACTGACATCTTACTGTTTTTGTAGAAGCTCTAATAGTTTGGCCCAGAGTTCCATAAAACATAGTTTTGGGAAAAGAGTCACAGTGAGGCAGAGCCGATTGCCTCCAGAGGAGCACATTGCAAGCTGAGCTGACTGTTCAGGTTGCTCTCCCCATCAGGAAGTCTTGTACCAGTCTGTGGCAAAAACATATTTGAAGTTATACAGTAATTTTCGTGCATGACAGTAACATTTATTTTTAAAATGTGTGCATATAAGACTGTATGTATTTATGAAGTCATTCAAAATAGCCATAGCTTTCTATGTGATGAACTCTAGTTTCCATAGCAGTAAAAAAAAAAAAAAAAAAATAAGAAAACACATCGGGGAAATCGCAAGTACTTAAGTACTGATGAAATTTAATGAGCTACAAAAAAAAAAAAAAATGAGCTGAAAGTATCCAGACTCTAAAGAATGGACATTGTTCTTAGGAATGACACCTCAGTCAGCATCTCAGTGCCCTTTGTGACTTCCTGAACTGAGATTACAGCAGTAGAGATGCAAAGGAGGAAGGACAAATGAGATTTAATCCCTGGATATGTGTGAGAAGTAGGGAAGAAAGAGTGCCATAGATGAGTAACATATCTCTGGATGTGATAATAAGTCGGGAAAGCTGAACCCGGGAGGCGGAGCTTGCAGTGAGCCGAGATAGTGCCACTGCAGTCCGGCCTGGGCGAAAGAGCGAGACTCGGCCTCAAAAAAAAAAAAAAAAAAAGAAAAAAAAAGAAAAAAAAAAGAAATTTCAAATGGAGATTCATAAATTAGATAAAGGAGGACTTGGTAGGCACAAGTGAGCTGAGTTTCAGACAAGTAGCCTTTATGGTACTTGTGTGTTTAGGAGCTACATATCTGATCTGAACTCAATACAGAATTTGGGAGCTATGGTAAACTGAATAATGGCACCCCAAAAATGTCCATGTACTAATCCCCAGACCCTGTCAATATGTTTCCTTACATTGCAAAAAGATATTGTATAAGTGATTAAGTTGAAGATATTGAGTTGTGAGATCATGTTGGATTGTCTGGGTGTGCCCAATGTAATCATGGGGATCCTTAAAAGGACACAAATATCAGAGATTAGAAGGAAGGCAATGTGATGACAATGGCAGAGACTGGAATGGTAGGAACACAAGCCAAAAAATGATGATGCTATGAGTCGTTCAAAGATAGGAACAGATTCTCCCTGGAGCTTTCAGAAGGGACTAGCTTATGGACACCTTGATTTTATTCCCACAAGACTAATTTTGGACTTCTGGCTTCCAGATCTGTAAAATAATATATTTGTGTTGTTTTAAGCAACTGTTTTATGGTAATGTGTTTCAGCAATAATACAAATCTAGTATAGGGAAAAAAATGAGTTTGGTCATTACATTTGATTATATGGACAAGATAAACACATAGCATTATAAGAGAACTACAGATGTTTAGTCAATGATGAAACTTCTTAATTAATTAATTTTTGAGGGGTTCTTAAAGTATTTCTTTAACATTGATTAATTAAATTTATAATAACTACACAGTGTGTGTATTGACTATAATATTTAATCTAACACAACTCTTTACAAACAATGATGACAACTTTTTTATATTTTAATTGTGTCTGCATCTATCAGAGCTCTGAATCCAACTTAAGTCTCCTTTTCTTGACTCATTATTACACAATTTATTGTTTTGTTCTAAAGAGTTGCAGATAACACTTTGTTTGGACCATAAGATACTAATATATAAAAGGAGGAACATTTATACATAGCTGTTCAAATTGCATGTCTAGATTTGATATCCTGAGAAAAATGTACAACTTTAATTAAAAATGTGTGAAATTTCACATTCAAAGAAATCATTAAGAGACGTGATAGCTAAGTGCAATACTCCATCATAGGCTGGATACTTTCAGAGTGACTAACTGTTATGTTTTATCTTGGACTGATAGGTTTCCAGGGACACGGGACTTTCAGTGCTAAAACATGGACAGTCAATCAGACTGCTCATACTGGTTCTGGAACACACACACACACACACGCACACACACACACTCACAGGAGAAAGAGGAAGGGAGAGAGAAAATGAATAAATTATAAAGCAAACAGGGCAAGTTATGACAAGTGAATTGGTAAAGTGTATAAGGCTCTTCCTTGAACTATTTTATTTGTGCAGCTTTTTGGGAGTTTGAAATTAATTTCAAATTTTAAAAAAATGTTAGGAGGTAAACAAAACAAAAACTCTATTTAGATAACAAATTTTTGAACTAAGTACAAAGTTCTATTTGGTCTGGCACCTAGAGTTTCTACCCAGACTTGCTCATGTCCTTTCTTTTTGCCATCACTCCACACTTTGTCTCAGTCCTTTCCACATAACACATTCTTCAGCCTTCATTCCGTTCCAGAGACAGTCTATGCACTCTCATCCTAGTGAGAATTGCACATATTGACCAGGCTGATTGAAATACCCTTTCTAATCCCTTTACTCTGTCTCCCATTATCTAGTTAATTTTGATTCAATATTTAGATCACAGTTAACTTTTTTGCTTCCTTTAGAGCCTGTGAGAGACAATACTCCCAGATTAAATAGAATCTTCTTGTTACCATCTCTTTATGTGTCATATAACACTTATAACATTGTTAGCATTTATTTTTTGTGATTACTTGATGGATGTCTGCCTCCTCCACTAGACCCTATGATTTTAAGTGTCAGAAATATGCCAGTATCCATTCACCATTTTATCCTCTCTGTCCAGAACAGCACCAGACACATGGAAAGGACTCCACAAATACTTGTTAAATGAATGAATTCTGATTCACCTGGCTCGAAATTTCTTAAGGAATAATCATATCATGCTTTTGCTCAGGTAAGACAGACTGAGGATTGTATATATCGATGATTAGTTTGCTTTTCCTCCAATTCAAAAATACAAATGTGAGAATGTAAATATGTTCATATAACAGTTCATTATCATCTGATGTTCCTAATATTTTAGATAAATAATTTTTATTGTGAATAGATACCACATGCAAAGCACAAGAGTGTTGAGATGTAATAAATAAACTGGTGAACAAAAGTGCTTTGAACTATGTATTTGGTTTTAATTTTTACAAAATGATTTAAATAATGTAGTCATATCTGTCAGTAGCTCTCTTGTCCTCTTTATGTGTATATGAAACATTTTAGCCACAGATGAAAACTCAAGCAGAGCAATGATCACTTTTTTCAACTATTTCTCTCTTGACATGCGCTTTGCCTACCAACACTGTCCTACTGTATTGTATATTGTACAATACTGTAATGTATTGTAACTCACATACTTTCTGCTTTTTATTTGCTTGCTTTCCTCTGTACCTTTGACGATGTTTTTCCTTCTGTTTGGAATGGCTTTATTTTTACTCTGTCTTTCTAATATCTATTAATTCTTTAATACTTATTTCAATAATTATTTGTATCTTAATTCCTTTCCTTATCTCCTCTCTGAACATCCCTCCAAGCATGCATACCCACCAGTCCGGGTTAGGTGCCTAGTTCTGTGTTCTCATAAACTTTGTATGAGTCTTTTTAATTGAAATTGTTGTGGTATATGCACATTTTCTGTGAGTGACTTTCTCACCTACTGAACGCAAAGAGCCTTGAGGGTGAATACTGCTTTATTCACAATTGTAAATCCAGCTCAGGTCCAGTCCCTGCTGTTCAGTGGGCACTCACTATAAATTTGATAAACTTAACTAATCAGATCACACAGAGGCATGAGCCTGAAAATCAACAAACACATGTCTCTTAGTGGCCTCAATAAAAATAAATGTGGCATAGATTGTGAGCCAAAAGCCAAGCACTGTCTTCATAGAAGAGTCCCTCAGGTCTTACAAACTCTTATTTTAGACACTATTTAAAAAAGTGCTTGCTTATCTGATTTCCCAGCACACAGAAAATTAAAAGCAGCAATTTGGAGGCAGTAAGAGGGTGATGTTAGAGGCAGGCATTGTAACAAAAAAAAACTTTTAGCTGCTGACTCGAGGTTATGCAAAGGTGATACCAAATGTACCAATGAAGCACTTTTTTTTTCAAAACTAAATCATGAAAATCAACCTCTAATGTGTTCTTTGACTAGGAATAAATTAAACTGCAAATAAATTATTTTAAAAAGACAACTATAAAATCTCAATGTTTGAACATTACCCATGTACTTCTAAATAACCTGTCTTTTAAGAGGAAATACACAAAGCTGTACAAAACATTTTGAAATAAATAATAATGAAAATATGACACATGAGAGATATTACTATGGATGTAGGTATATCAGAGCATAAAGAGAAATGTGTAGCCTTAAGTGCATATTTTGAAAATAGAAGAAAGCTAGAAAAAAAGAAATAAAAGTAAAATAAACTAGGAGGGAATAATAATGAAAAGATCAGAGATCAATAAAATGGTAAGGTACTTAATAACCGAGAACATGAAGAGAGCTGAATTTGTTTTCTTGAAGCAATCACTAAAATCAACTTATCTTTACTGATTAAGCTAGTGGTTTTGCATGGGCTGCAGATCTCTGGATTCCATATATTCAATAAAACTGTTTCCAAAATAATAACTTTTTCTTATTCATTCGCTATTTATTTGGTACTTTCTCTGCATCCATGTGTTTTTTGAAGGGTTCTTACTTCAATGGACTTATATTATTAAGGCAGCAAAAGAAAATAATTTAAAAAAGCAAAAACAAATATGTCGCCACCAAACAAATGAAAAACAATAAATAAGAAAACATATCAGCTAACTATGTGTTTTTTGTTTGTTCGTTTGTTTGTTTTGAAGGGAGTGTGGCCACAATATCTGGAAATACTGCTAAAGAAGTAAGAACACAAGTGAAGATTGAACTTGAAGATTAGGGATACCCTTTTTGTAAACAGTAGATGAAAAAGGAATGTATAGTCAGGGAATGGAGACACCATTGAAATAGAAGAGATTTCAACATGCTTCAATATAAAAAGAAGAGTTTTCTAGAAAGGTGTGGCTCTAGATCAGAAATATGAGGTCAAGGGAAATTTATTTCTCATCTCACATGGAGAATACTAAGAAGTGTTATAGGAAAGAGAAAATAAACATATGATGCAACGGAGAGAGATAGTAAGTCCTTGAGAAGACACAAAGAAAGGAGGAAGGGAACAGGACTGACGTTTTATGCTGTGTGGTTTAAATGTTCGGATATTCGTATTCATATTTTTTACTTCCATGTTATTTGTCCTCTAGAAAACTGAATTTGAAGACTTCTGGTAATGTCTGGATATGAAGTTTATTTAGACACTGGTTAAGCAGGTTACATATGGGTCAGAATATTGGAGAATACATATTTTGATTCTAAAGAAAGTATTTAGATTTTAGGTATTTAGACCGTAAGTATTTAGACTTCCAAGGTTTGACATGGGGTAACAAGAAATTTTCTCATTACCTATGTAAAATACCAAATGTTGAGACAAATATCCCAAACAGAATACAAACAACTTTCAGAAAAAAAATTAAAATTTGCAGCTGGGAGCCTTCTCCTCTAGCTTATTTTTCTACGTCTCCCTCTACACCAGCCCCATTCTACAACTTTGCCATGCAGTAATGAATATTACTAGTTAGTGTTGGGAGTGAGTAAACTGGGAAGGTATTTCAACTAAATTTGACCACATAAGCTACTTGTGCAAACTTTTCTCTGTGAGTTAAAGGTGAGTGGGGCATTAACTTATTTCATTACATTGGGATGTGTCCTCTGACCAATACAATCCTCTCAGACAATTTAATAACACAGGTTACCCTAGATCAAGATATATAGTGTTGGAGGCAGGGATCTTAGTTGTCTTAGAACATAATTTCACATTACTGAAAGAGTAGATTCCAAATAAACCAACATCATGTCAAAGGTCTCCTGCAGTAAAGACCTGCATGTTCTGCCACTGTGTCTTTTGTTCTAACACATTGCCGTGCCTTAATGTTTCCAGGCATAAATATCTGGAAATATTAAGATCCTCAACTTTTAAATATGCAGCTTTCTAAGAGTAAAACATATCTATTTTAAAATATATTTGCCATGAAAAGGAGATCTGCCATTTTTCACTTCTCTTTCTACAAATTTCTCTCTCTAATTGTACAAACAATGGCTTGTCTCTTATCCATTTTTATTTTTTTAACCAATAGGGTGATAGTTATGTGCTGATTTGCTAATGAGAGTATGGCTTATGCTTGTTTTTCTTGTTTACTTATTAATATTGCCTATGTGTATTCTTTATTTGGATGATAAACTATATAGTCACTCTAACTACGATGCTTTGCCCTGAAGGCAAATAACCCTGAGACACCCTTAGAGAGAAATAAAAGTGCTAAAGTTGGTATTGCAAAAGTGAATGGCATTAATGGCTGGGTAATAAATCCTTTTGTTCAGGTTTCCCATTATTTACTTTCAACACAATGAAGGGAAAACCTAATAGAGTTGTCAGATGACAGATTATTAAAAATAATTTTGAAGATAGATAGCTATGTAATTTGGGGCATATAACTATTAAGAAGTTCAAAGAGCCAAGAAACCTTGCTATAATAAAATAGCTTCCATTACCATCTGTTTTTGTGATCACATTTTCTCGGCACCTACCTAAAAAAAAAAAGAAAAAGAAAAGAGAATATAGGAATAAAATTGATGGTGAATACTGTCTCATTCAAGTAACAAACACAGCAATACCTCATTTTATTGTGCTTCACTTTATTGCGCTTTGCAGATATTGTGTTTTCTACAAATTGAAGGTTGGTGGCAACCCTGAACTGTACAAGTCTATTGACACTATTTTTTTCAATAGAATGTGTTCACTTTCTCTCTCTGATGCACTTTGGTAATTTTCACAATATTTTGAACTTTTTCATTATTATTATATCTATTATGGTAATGTGGGATCAGTGATATTTGGTGTTACTATTATTATTGTTTCCAGGAGACATAAATCTGGCCCATATAAAAGAGCAAACTTAATAGAAAAATATGTGTATTCCAACTGCTCCATCGGCCAGATAGTCACTCATCTCTCTCCTTTTTGTTGGACCTCTCTATTCCCTGAGACACAACAATATTGAAATTAAGCCAATCAATAACTCTGCAATAGTCTGTAAATGTTCAAATGAAAGGTTCTCTCACTTTAGACCAAAAACTAGAAATTATTAAACATTGTGAGAAAGGCATGTCAGAAGCTAAAACTAGGCCTCTTGAACCCAGTTGGCCAAGTTGTGAATGGAAATAAAAGATTCTTGAAGAAAATTAAAAGTCTTATTCTAGTGAACCCATGAATTATAAGAAAGCAAAAAAGTCTTACTGATAGTAAAGGGAAAGTTTTAGTGGCCTGGATAGAAGATCAAACCAGCCACACCATTCCCTTAAGCTAAAGCCTAATCCAAAGCAAGAACCTTAATTCTATCCTCCTCAATTCTATGAAGGCAGAAAGGAGTGAGGAAGCTTCAGAAGAAAAATCTGAAGCTGGCAGAATTGGTTCATGAGGTTTAAGAAAAGAAGCCATTTCCATAACATAACAGTGCAAGGTGAAGCAGCAAGTGCTGATGTAGAGGCTGCAGGAAGTTATTCAGAAAATCTAACTGAGATCATTGATAAAGGTGATGCACTAAACAACACTTTTTTAAAAGTTTAAATATTTCATTATTATACATATATAACAGTTGTATATGTTTATAGGGCACATGTGATGTTTTGGTACGAGCATACAATGTGTGATGATTGAATCAAGGTAACTGAAGTCTCTATCACTTCAATTATTTATCTTTTCCTTGTGTTAGGAACATTCCAATTCCACTCTTCTAGATAATTTAAAATATACAATAAATTTCTGTTAACTATCGCCACTCTGTTGTACTACTGAATACTAGATTTAATTCACTCTATCTAACCGTATTTTGTACTCATTAACCATCCCCACTTTATCCCATCCTTCCTACTATTCTGTCTGATAATCATCATTGTACTTCCAATTTCCATGAGTTTATTTTTTTTACTTCTCACGTATGAGTGCAAATACATGATATTTGTATTTCTGTGCCTGTCTTCTTTCATTTAACATAATGTCCTCCAGTTCCAACCATGTTATTGCAAATGAGATAATTTAATTTTTATGGTTGAATAATATTCCATTGTGTATCTGGACCATATTTTCTTTTTCTATTCTACCATTGATGAACACTTAGGTTGATTTCAAATCTTGGTTATTGTGAACAGTGCTGAAATCAACATGGGACTGAAGATATCTCTACAATAAACTGATTTCTTTCTTTTGGGTATGTACCTCATAGTAGAATTGCTGAATCATGTAGTAGTTCTAATTTTTAGTTCTTTGAGGAGCCTCCATACTGTTCTCCAAGGTGGCTGTACTAATTTATATTCCCACCAACAACCTCTCTCCACAAGAAGAGGACTCCCCATTCTCCACATCCTTGTTAGCACTGGTTATTTTCCATCTTTTGGACAAAAGTCATTTTAACTGGGGTGAGGTGATATCTCATTGTATAATAATTTTGATTTGCATTTCTCTGATTATTAGTGATATTGAGCATTTCTTATATACTTGTTGGTCATTTGTATATCTTATTTTGAGAAATATCTATTCACATCTTTTGCCCATTTTTAATCGGATTATTTTCTATAGAGTTGTTTGAGCTCCTTATATATGCTAGTTATTAATTCCTTGTCAAATGAGTAGTTTGCAAATATTTTCTCCCATTAGGTGGGTGGTGTTTTCACTTTGTTGATTGTTTCCTTTGCTATGCAGAAACTTTTTAGCTAAATGTGGTCCCATTTGTCCATTTTTGCTTTGGTTGCTTGTGCTTTTGAGATCTTACTCAAAAAGTTTTTGCAAAGACCGACGTCCTGGAGTTAGACATCCAGTTTTCAATGTAGAACGAAGCCTTTTAGTGGGAAGAAAAATGTCATCTAGGAGTTTCCTACATAGGGAGAAATCAATGACTGGCTTCAAAACTTCAAAGATCAGGCTGACTCTCTTGTTAGTGGCTAATGCATCTGGTGACTTGAAGTTGAAGTCAAAGCTCATGTATCATTCTGAAAATCCTAGAACCATTAAAAATTATGCTAAATCTACTCTATGTCCTATAAATGAATCAACAAAGCCTGAATGATAGCATATCTGTTTATAGCATGGTTTGCTGAATATTTTAAGCCCACATTGAGACCTACTGCTCAGAGACAAATATTTCTTTCAAAATATTACAACTAACATTGTACCTGGTTGCCCAAAAGCTCTGAAGGAAATGTACAAAAAGATTAATGATGTGTTCATGCCCACTAACAGAACATTCATTCTACAGCCCATGGCTCAAGGAGTAATTTTGATCTTCAAGTGTTATTAGTTAAGAAATACATTTCAAAAGGCTGTAGCTGCCATAAATAGTGATTCCTTGATGGACATGGGTAAAATAAATTGAAAATCGCATGATTGTTAGCATGTTGTATCAATAAAATATTTTCAAATTAAGATACGTACTTTTTTTACATATAATGCTGTTGCACATTTAATAGACTATAGTATAATGTAAACATAACTTTTATAAGCACTGGGAAACCAAAAAATTTGTGTGACTTGCTTTATTGTAATATTGGCTTTATTGTCATGGTCTAAAATCAAATACACAATCTCTCCAAAGTATGCCTATAGTAATTAACCATGAACATGTAGTAAAGCCCTATTAATATCATTAAGGGATTTAGTTTAAGAAAATGTAAAATTATTATAATAAACACTTAACAAAAATTTTGATGTAATTATATTACTTTAATTCATCATGTGCTACTAATTATAATGATAATTTTGGCTTTATACTCCTTATAATCAGCACTTTACATGGGAACTATACTGTATCATTAAAGACACTAAAGAGAAAATTTTAAGTTTATTCTAGCATGGTATATCAAAATTTATTGTTATTTAGGATGTTTTATATAACTATCTTTCAAATTTACAGTTTGTATTAGTGAAATATTGCAAATATACAGAATTATTGTTGGTATCAAATATTGGAAGACATCATTTTTTTCACATGTAAGTTATAGTATATTTTGCTTTTTTGTGTACTCTTGAGCAGCAACAAATTCAGAACACATTTGAGATAACTATATTATTAAGCATTTTGATTTTTATATCATTAGTTTTAAAATTTATTTTAATATTAATTTTTTAATATTTTTAATAATAAAATTCCAATATTTTATGCCAAATTTTCATGGATTTCAATTTTTAATGTATTTTATAATTTATCATTTTTATGAATTATCTAAAAATCAAAGTGATCATTTATTATTTCATTTCTTATAGTTTTCTTTTAATAAATTTCTGCTTTTGCTATAATCTGAGAATGTTAGAATTTGCTTCTTAATATCAGAAAAATGTTTTATAAATTTATATCAAATTTGTTTTACATGCCAATTACATTTACCTGAAATTTATCTTATTTTTAAAAATACATAAATTTATATTTGGCAAACAAAGTTACCTATATGCTTCCAAGCTAGAATCATTAATTTATTCTTATTTTTTAGTTGATGTATCAAAACATTTTTCTAAGTTGTTATAAAAATTGTCTATTTTCAAATCACCTTTCTCTAAGCCAGATCCCAAAGAATCCTTCTGTGTCTATTTCACTGGACTCAAGATAAATTGTGACGGAAGAAAAGTCAGAGGAAAGGAGAAAGGCCTTGAGTGATGTTTCCTTAGTTTCATAGTACATGAAAAATTTTTATTCCTTATTTGCATTATTCATTATAAGTATACCATGAACTACTGGCAAATTTTTAAATTTTTAAAAATTATATGTATACACACACAGACACATAAAAATTTGCCACATAGTGTGTCTTTGAGAGCTCTCCAACTTCTTTCTGGATGGGGATTGCTACCACAGTAGAAATCATTGAATTTCCATAAGATGCACTGTGTTTAAATCAATACAGACTGTGTTTTCACTGTCTTAACTAACTATGTTCTTTTATAACTTGATAGTGTTTAAACATTCATCTGCCATTTCAATGGTAAATGCTTTCCGGAATTAATATACAGGGCTCACCTACCATAGATTTTCACTGAATAGAGTTCAAGAAGGTATGTTGAAAAGTTTTGCCTTCTCTTTCTTTTCGTTTTCTTTTCTTTTCTTTCTTTTTTTTTCTTTTTTTTTTTTAGATAGGGTCTTACTATGCTGCCCAGACTGCTCTCAAACTCCTGGGCCCAAGCGATCCTCCTGCCTCAGCCTCCTGAGTTGCTGAAACTATAGGCACACACAAATGCAACCAGCTTAATATTATATCTGAACAAAAATCAAGAACAGAACAAAAAGATCCAAGAGATAGAGTAAGCAATCTTTTTTTTTTTTTTTTTTTTTTTGAGACACAGTCTCGCTCTGTCGCCCAGGCTGGAGTGCAGTGGCGCGATCTCAGCTCACTGCAAGCTCAGCCTTTCAGGTTCACGCCATTCTCCTGCCTCAGCCTCCCAAGTAGCTGGGACTACAGGTGCCTGCCACCACGCCCGGCTAATTTGCTTTTGTATTTTTAGTATAGACGGGGTTTTACCATGTTGGCCAGGATGGTCTCGATCTCCTGACCTCGTGATCCGCCCGCCTTGGCCTCCCAAAGTGCTGGGATTACAGGCGTGAGCCACCGCTTAAGCAATCTTTGGTTAAAGGAGTTAAAGCTTAAAGCCTACAATTCAGAGATTCTGCACTTTCAATTGACACTCAGCAATGGTGAAAGATGGTAGCTATCCATCCACATGCTTTTACTTTAATTCCTTTTAACTGAACTTGGAGTTTCAGTCAATATTCATAAAAGAGAAAGAAATTATTTCACCTGAATAAATATTTTTAAATAACTATTATGTAATCCAAATGAACTATTATGTAATCAAAAATAATGTAATCTTAATAAAGTTGCTATATTAGAATTTAAAGAGAATACCACTCAGAATAAAAGTAAAAATCACATTTCAAAACATTTTTAGAAATTGTGATAAATCTAAGCCTTAAAGTTTGTGTGAAAATTTATAATACTTGTCAGAAATCCAGCAAAATTTTTACAGAAGTCTACTAAGTATAATATTTTATTATACACGATGTACTT
Organism: Homo sapiens; assembly: GCF_000001405.40. NCBI lineage: Eukaryota > Metazoa > Chordata > Mammalia > Primates > Hominidae > Homo > Homo sapiens. Next base: position 88,637,433 of record NC_000013.11, read on the forward strand.
AGGGAAAAATTAAGAAATAAATGTCCTGTCTTTAAGGCTCTTGCAATATAGTTAAGAAAAAAAAATATGTTCTTATGGTGACACAAAAAATATGTAGTACAAAATAATTTAGAAATCCAGTAAACACTTGAGATTTAATTACTGCTAGAGATCTTTAAAAATATCAGGAATTGAACATTGCACTACTTGTAATGCTACATTAATTATTTATGAGAGTAGTATATTTATTAATAAATCTGTGTATAATCTGTGCTACTGGAAGCTATTATTACAACAGGTTTTACATTTTTATTAGTGAAATATTGACAAAACACATTAATTCTTGAAACATGAAACTTTTCGAGAAGTTGAAACTGTTAAAATCCAACTTAAAATTGTATAACTGAGGCAAAAAACAGTCAAATATATGATATTGAATAGTTATGGTTTATCTAAAATCCAAATTTAACTGTGTATGTTGAAATATTGTTTGCTCAATCTGCAACCTTACTCTAGTTTCTGTTGAAGAAATTGATAAATGTGTATATATATATCATAAACAAAATACAGCATCCTTGTCTTTTCAAATTAATGATATAGAGATAATTTCATATCTATTGATATCATTTTGCTTGATTATTTAACTATTACATAGCGTGCTCTAGCATTTACATAACTATTTATTTAAAGATTTCTCTACTAAAAGCCATCTTGATTTTACAGATATTGTGCAATCACACATTAAGAAAAATCTAACAGTATATTATTTCACATGTTCTTTTGGGTGTATGGACAAATATCTATCAAGAGTAAATATCAAAAATGGAAGTCTTGTGTCAAAATTCAGACATATTTTATTTGAAAAAATATTGACTTTTCTATCATAATGTTTACCCAATATATACTAATGATTACATGTTCAATCTGATTTTATTTTGAATTTTGATGGTAAAAAGTAATAATTTGAAACATTTTGTTTTTTCTGATCCATGATGCTAATCATCTTTTCAGATTTTTATTACTCATTTATATTTAGTTTGACTATGCATCTATTAATTTTTTTAATTTTTAATTTTTGTCAAATTTTTAATATGTTGTATAATAATACTTGTTTAAAACATAGCTAATGATTTCTTTCAATCTGCCTCTTGATATGTAACTTTATGGTAGTATCCTTTGCTTTATAGGTGTTTATTAATGTCATGAAATCTAACAGTACTTGTTTTTATGTGTATTTTCACACTATTTTGAGAAAGAAGATATCTGTGATAGGCTGACTAATAATGCCCAAGATCTCCATATCCTAATATGTTAATTAAATTGGCAAAAGGGACTTTGCAGATTTGATTAAATTAAGGATATTGAAGTGTAAAGATATCCGGAATTATGGTCCTATGTAACGACAAGGGTCTTTATGAGAGAGAATGCATTCTGAAAACATAGCAAAGAGAGATTTGAAGATGCTGCACTGATGGCTTTGAACAAAGATTGTTGTGGTCTTAATGGTTGCGTCTTTCTCAAAATGTATCCAATGCAATCTATTAGGAAGTAGGAACTTTGGGAGGTCATTAGATGATGAGGGTGGGGCCCTCATGAATAGAATAGTGCCCTTATAGGCCCCAGAGAGATGCCTTGCTTTTTCCACCAAAAGAAGACGCAGCTAAAAGGCAATATTATGAACCAGAATGTAGGCCCCTGCTAGTTACTGAAATCTTTTCATGCCTTGATCTTGGACTTCTCAATCTCCAGAACTGTGAGAAATAAATTTTTGTTGTTCATAAGTTACTCAGTTTATGGCATTTTATCATAGCAGTCCAAATGGACTAAGACAAAAGTGGAGGAAGGTGCCATCAGACAAGAAATGCAGCTATAGAAGCTGCAAAAGGCAAGGAAACAGATTACCTCCTAGAGCCTGAAGAAAGAGTGAAGCCCTGCAGGTACCTTGATTTCAGACTAATAGAACCCACTTTGGACTTTGGCCTCTAAAATAATAAGAGAATAAATGTGTGTTACTTTCAGTCATCAAATTGGTGAAGTAATTGTTACAGCAGCAATAGAAGTCTAATGGAAAATGTATTCCAAATTGATAGCTTTTTCTTATTTATTCAACTAACCATTTTGTAGTTTTTCGTTTAATCAATTTAAACCAGTTGCCAGTTTTGTAACCAACATGTTTTTGTAGTCTACATTTTTCCAAATAAATGGCCATTGCTGCATTATTAATTATTAAAAATGCCTTTACTTGTCTGAATTTATTTTCCACTGTTTAATTAATATATATTTATAAAGTTGTTTCCAAATTTTCTCTGCTATGCCTTAGTTCTACTATAGAATTATATTATTGTGATAATAATACATTTTATAATTTTTTTTGTTACTTGGTAAGACAAAATTTTCTTATTTTTTTCTTTGAAAAAAATCTAAAATATTCTGGTACACTTATTCCAGAAACCCAAAAATAATCTTCACATCAATTATTTAAAAATTCTTATTAGAACAATAATTATGAGGATTTTTTAAACTCTCTTTTTCAAAGGGAAAATATTTGTCCTTTTCAGTGTTTGGAATGACCATCAATACTTCAAGCACTCCAGTTTTTGTTTTGTTTTGTTTTGTTTTGTTTACTTTCTACTTTTGGAACTCGTATTCACTAATCATTAGAGCCCTGATGTAACTGCCAGTCTTCTGATTTTTTTAAAATTATACTTTAACTTCTGAAATCTTCATACAATGCTTATAAATACTTTATAAGACCAATTGTCATTTTTTAAATATGAGCATTTTTAGAACATATATCTCTGGCAAAGTCAGATCCAGCTGGGCTTATGGCTTCCGGTGTGGATGACTCTGACCAGGCTGAGAGCAGAGGTGTTAGCATTCAGGCCTCCCTGGTGAAGACTTTGCTTTGCTGCTATATCTTTCTCTTGGTTTTCCTCTTCTAAATTTATTTAAAAGCTTCTGTTACACAGAAAATTTCCTTAATTGACTTAGAGTGTATATATAAGCATTCATACTTGTAGCACATATTTTACTTTAGTGCATCTTTTTGTTTCATTTCATGAGGTATTTGTGTGGATAACACATTTCAGCAAGTTCTCAATTTACATTTTTTAATTTTTAATTTTTGTAGGTACATACTAGGTGTATAAACTTATGGAGTACGTGAGATGCTTTGATACAGTCATGCAATATATAATAATCATATCATGGAAAATGGGATATCCATCCCCTCAAGCATTCATCCTTCGTGTTACAAAAAAAGTACAATTGTACTCTTTCAGTTATTTTATATGTACAGTTAAATTATTATTGACTATAGTTACCTTTCGGTACTACCAAATACTAGGTCTTATTCATTCATTCTAATTTTTTGCACCATTAACCATATCCATGGCCCCCAACTCCCCCACTAGCTTAGCCAGCCTCTGCTAACCATCCTTCTACTCTGTCTCCATGAGTTCAATTGTTTTGACTTTTATTAGACTCCACAAATAAGTAAGAGCATGTGATGTTTGTCTTTCCATACCTTGCTTATTTTACTTAACATTTTTCATCCATGTTGTTACAAATTACAGGATCTCATTCATTTTATGGCTGAATAGTACTCATTATGTATATGTACATTTTGTTTATCAATTCATCTGTTGATGGATACTCATGTTGATTCCAAATTGTGGCTGTTGTGAACAGTGCTGCAACAAATGTGGGAGTACAGATGTCTCTCCAATATACTGATTTCATTTATTTTTGGTATATAGCCATAGTGAGATTTCTGGATTGCATGGTAGCTCTATTTTTAGGGTTTTTTTTATTGTACTAATTCACATGCCCATCAACAATATACGAGGATTCTCTTATCTCCACATTCTCACCAGCATTTGTTATTGCCTAACTTTTGGATAAAAGCCATTTAACTGTGGTGAGATGATACCTCACTGTAGTTTTGTTTTTCATTTATCTGATGATCAATGATGTTGAACACCTTTTCATATGCCTATTTGCTATTGGTATGTATTCTTTTGAGAAAAGTCTATTGAAATATTTTGCCCATTTTAAAATCAGATTATTAGATATTTTTCTACAGAGTTGTTTGTGCTCCTTATATATTTTCATTATTAATCCTTTGTCAGATAGGTAGTTTGTAAATATTTTCTCTCATTCTGTGGGTTTTCTTTTCATTTTGTTTGTTCTTTCCTTTGCTGTGTAGAAGCTTTTTGACTTGATGTGATCCCACTTGTCCACTTTTGCTTTGGTTGCCTGTGCTTGTGGGGTATATCTCAAGAAATTTTCACCTAGACCAATGTCCTTGTGTTGTTTCCCAATGTTTTCTTGTAGTAAATTTCATAGTTTGAAGTCTTAGATTTAAGTATTTAATCAATTTTGATTTTGTTTTTGTACATGAAGAGAGACAGGAGTCTAGTTTCACTCTTCCGTATGCAGGTATCAAAATCTCCCAGGCCTATTTATTGAAGAAACTGTATTTTCCTCAATGTATGCTCTTGGTATCTTTGCCAAAAATGAATTTGCTGTAGGTCTGCACATTTGTTTCTGAGGTCTCTATTCTGTTTCATTTGTCTATATGTCTGTTTTTTAACCCAGTATCATGCTCTTTTCATTACTATAGTTCTATAGTATAATTTAAACTCTGGAAATGTGATTCCTCCAGTTTTGTTCTTTTTTCTCAGGATCGCTTTGGCCATTCTGGGTCTTTTGTGGTTTCATATACATTTTAGAATTGCTTTTATCTGTTTCTGTGAGTAATGTCGTTGGTATTTTGATAGGGGTTGCATTGAATCTGTAGATTGCTTTGGGTAGCATGGACATTTTAACAATATTAATTCTTCCAATTCATGGGCATGTAATGTCTTTCCATTTTTTGTGTGCTCTATTCAGTTTCTTTTATCAGTGTTTTATAATTTTCATTGTTGAGGTTTTTTACTTTGGTTTGATTACTAGGTATTTAGTTCTATTTGTGGCTATTGTGAATTGGATTAGTTTTATTGACTTATTTTAGACTGTTCCCTCTTGGCATAGAGAAATGCAAATAATTTTTGTATGTTGATGTTGTAGTCTGAACTTTACTAAATATGTTTATCATTTCTAATATAATTTGGTGGAGTTTTCAGGTTTTTCCAAATATAAGACCATGTTATCTGCAAACAAGAATAATATGACTTCTACCATCCCAATTTTTTTTTTTTTTGAGCTGGAGTCTCGCTCTGTTGCCCAGGCTGGAGTGCAGTGGTGCGATCTTGGCTCACTGCAAGCTCCGCCTCCTGGGTTCTCGCCATTCTCCTGCCTCAGCCTCCCGAGTACCTGGGACTACAGGCACTCACCATCATGCTTGGCTAATTTTTTTGGTGTTTTTAGTAGAGACGGGGTTTCACCATGTTAGCCAGGATGGTCTCGATCTCCTGACTGTGATCTGCCTGTCGCAGCCTCCCAAAGTGCTGGGATACCATCCCAATTTTAATGTTCTTTATTTCTTTCTGTTTTCTTCTTGCTCTAACTAGGAACTCTAGTATGATGTTGAATAACAGTGGTAAACATGGGCATCCTTGTCATGTTCCAGATCTTAGAGGAAAAGCTTTTAGTTATTCCCCATTAAGTATGATACTGATAGCAACAGGAAACAGATTCCTAGGAGAAAGGGATGGGTCTCTGGTGAAACCCAATCTTCAAAACATGGACAGTTTAAAGCCTGAAAACTGAGCTGCCATTTCTGGATAGAGTCCACAACCAAAGTGAGAACTTCCATCCCCATCTTACTCACTCTCTTTTGATTGGGTTCTTCTGAATGATGCCTGTTAACCAATCAAATGGTGCTTTTTCCAAGCCCACCCATGGACCAATCAGCATGCACTCCCCCATTCTAAGCATACAAAAACCCCAAACTCAGGCTCACAGGCAGCTACCTGCTTTCAGGTCCCCTCTTGCAGCTGAGAGCTTTCTTTCTACCACTCAATAAAATTCTACCCTGCCTTACTTGCTCTCCATTTTCCACATACCTCATTCTTCTTGATCAGGGGACAAGAACCCAGAACTCGCCAAACTGTGGGAGCAAAAGAGCTGTAATGCTTCTGATTGCTGAGCTGTGATCTGTGTGAGTAAAAGAGCTGTAACACTCTGTCCTGCACACTGAACAACAGGAGAGAAATAACCACTGGATGCCACCTCCTCATGCTTGCCAAACTATGGGAGTAAAAAAGCCGTTACATTTCTGGGGGCTTGTCCAGGATCTTCAGAAGGGGGAGTAAGAAAGGACTTATGACTCTACTTTAATTCTGAGGTTTCTTGTCTTCAGATATTTTCCTGAAGGCAGATAAAACACCAGGTCTCTGTCAGCCAGTTAAGAGTGGATAGCATGGCTGCTATCCACTACAAGACTCAGAGGACCAGCTTGCTGGGGAGGACTTTGTCAATTCCCCTTCACCCTTGGGTGTTGGGAATGTTGGCTGTGTTCCAATCCAGTGTCCCTTCATGAAAGTCTAGCCATCACATGGGAATAGAACAATGTTCTGGTGCAACTGAAAGCATCTGGCCAAGGCCACAATTTGGTGGGACCTGAAGGCCCCTAGATTGACTCCAATTCCTGACAGTCCATTTAGGTGTCAAATAAAGACTTCCAGTCTTTCCTATATCATTTTCTTTCTTTGGAGACTGTCGTGGTTGCTATTCCCTCTTTATATACAATGGTGCAGGTTTTCTTACAACCCAAAGAAATTATATTACTTGAGTAGAATGACCACTTGGCTTAGTCAAAAGGAGCATATTCCAGAACAACGCTGTTTCTGTTTATTCTTAGAAAAAGGAGGATGTGACAATTAAGAGAGTTTTCTTTCCCCTGATGAAAAAAACCATTAGCATAAGGCAAGAGTCTGTTTCCTCCAGGCCTCTTCCCTCCTTTATATTTTAGGATTTTTTTGTTTGTTTTCACCATATCAGGAGTCAACATATCTTGTGAATACAAGGAGCTTTTCTATGTGAGGGATTCATTTTTTCTTTTTGAGAAGCATCTTATTAGACTAGGTCCCCAATTCCCAAGACTCCCTTTTTTTTTCCCCTTTTTTCAAGGAGGAGCTGGTTCCACAGCTTCACCTTAGCATTACTCCAATGTATTTTCCAAGGTTCAGTTTGGAGCCCTAAAAGGAGAACTAGGTCTGTGGAACCCAGAGCCAGTCAATAGTGGAAAGCTAGGGCACAGCACAGGTAAGCATAACTATCCCTGCCAACTAGGCCTTCCTGTTTCATGGGTGGAAGACTTGCTTGCATCCATGGCATAGATGAGGTCCAGGGAACCCAAAGGTTACTAGCAGGAGCAGGTCAGGGTGTGAGTAGGTAAGTGTGACTATCCCTGCTTTTGGACCCTCTTGCTCCATGGTTGGAGGTCACACTTGCATCCAAGGGTATTGGGCGAAATTCACCCCCAATATTTCACATAGGTTCTTTTCTATTTTCCCTAAGTGTCAGCCAGTCTGAGAAGTAAAGGGAGAGAGTACAAAAGAGAGAAATTTTAAAGCTGGGTGTCCGGGGGAGACATCCCATGTTGGCAGGTTCCATGATGCCCCCCAAGCCACAAAACCAGCAAGTTTTTATTAGTGATTTTCAAAAGGGGAGGGAGTGTATGAATAGGGTGTGGGTCACAGAGATCACATGCTTCACAAGGTAATAAGATATCACAAGACAAATGGAGGCAGGGCAAGATCACAGGACTACAGGACCGGGGCAAAATTAAAATTGCTTATGAAGTTTTGGGCACGCATTGTCATTGATAACATCTTATCAGGAGACAGGGTTTGAGAGCAGACAACCGGTCTGGCCAAAATATATCAGGTGGGAATTTCCTCGTCCTAATAAGCCTGGGAGCACTACGGGAGACCAGGGCTTATTTCATACCTCCGCTATGACCGTGAAAGACAGCCGTCCCCAAAGCGGCCATTTCAGGGGCCTCCCCTCAGGGACGCATTCTCTTTCTCAGGGATGTTCCTTGCTGAGAAAAAGAATTCAGTGATATTTCTCCCATTTGCTTTTGAAAGAAGAGAAATACGGCTCTGTTCCACCTGGCTCACTGGCAGTCAGAGTTTAAGGTTATCTCTCTTATTCCCTGAATACTGCTCTTATCCTGTTCTTTTTTCAAGGTGCCCAGATTTCATATTGTTCAAACACACATGCTCTACAAACAATTTGTGCAGTTAACACAATCATCACAGGGTCCTGAGGTGACATACATCCTCCTCAGCTTATGAAGATGATGGGATTAAGAGATTAAAGTAAAGACAGGCATAGGAAATTACAAGTGTATTGATTGGGGAAGTGATTAGTGTCCATGAAATCTTCACAATTTATGTTCAGAGACTGCAGTAAAGACAGGCATAAGAAATTATAAAAGTATTAGTTTGGGGAACTAATAAATGTTCATGAAATCTTCATAATTTATGTTCTTCTGCCATGGCTTCAGCCAGTCCCTCCATTTGGGGTCCCTGACTTCCCACAACACATGGGAGATGCCTATGGTGGCCACAATGACTCAGGTAAGTGTGGAGAGAAGAAAGAAAGGAATGTATTTTTTTCTCTCCCTCATATACCTTGGAATTTATCAGGAAGAGAGAAAGGAACTAAGGGATGCCTTTTCCCCCTCTCTTTCCAGATGGGTAACAACTCATCTTCAGCCTGCACTCCACTGAAGTGCATCCTGAATCACTGGAACTCTTTTGAACCTCAGACACTGGAAAAAAAATGCCTTGTGTTCCCTTGCACATAGACTTGGCTAGATTATAAACTGCTGGACAGAGAAGTTTGGCCTCTGGAGGGAAGTATTAATGTTAAAACTATCCTGCAGCTGGACCTTTTCTGTAAACATGAGGGTAAATGTTCTGAGGTCCCATATGTGCAGGCTTTCTTTGCCTTGCAGGATAATCTGAACTTTGCCAACATTGTAGGATTGATCTAGACCTCCTAGTGGTCATCTCAGGAGTGGCTACAAAAGACAATCCGTAGAAATTACGGAAGCAAACCCCAGTGGTGCCTCCAGTGAGCAAGTCAGCTCCCCTTGTTCTTGCTCCTGCTGGTTTATAATGTATTCTCTAGTCAGGTTCTCTTTCCAGCTTGTCCAAATCCTAAAACACTTCATCTTAGGTGGGTCCCAGCCTCACTTAGCCCCTACAAGGGATGCCTCATGAATATGGTCCCCTTTTCTCTATAGGACTGAAGACAATTTCAGGGAGATCTTGGAAACCTTTTACACGACCTGGCAGTTATATAGAGGCTTTCCAGAATTTAATCCAAGCATTTAAACTCTCCTGGAAGGGTGTTATGTTAGTTTTTAATCAAACACTGTCTGCTGCTGAGAAGCAGACAGCCCTGCAAGTGGCAGAGAAGTTGGGATGAGCTTTGTGTCTCATATAGTGCCAAGGAAGAGGAAGAAACTTATCCAATTGGAAAAAAAGTAGTACCATTGGAGGACCCTAAATGGGACGCTGATGATGACAAGGTAGATTGGAGGAGGAAACACTTTCGGATGTGCATATTGGAGGGCTTGCAAAGGACTAGACATGAACCTCTCAATTACTCCAAACTATCCATGATAGACCAAGTATCAGATGAGAATCCCACTGCCTTCCTGGAAAGGCTGAGAGGCCTTGGTAAAGCACAACTATCTATCTCCTGACTTAGTTGAAGGATAAGTAATTTTAAAGGATAAGTTTATTACTCAGGAACCACCTGATATCAGGAAGAAGCTGCAGGAAGAAGCCATAGGACCAGATAGTATTTTAGATAACCTCTTGAAAGTGGCCACCTCGATCGTTTACAATAGGGATCAGGAGGAGGCTCAAAAGAGAGGAGACACACAAAAAAGGCAGCAGCTCTAATGGCCACATTTTGGGCTTATAAACCCCAGAATCCCCAAGAGGCACCTGTTAACTGCTACAAAAGCCAGGGCACTTTAAGAAGAACTTCCTAGACAGCATGAGAAAGCCACCTTGACCTTGTACAATCTGTGGAGGGGACAACCGGAGGGTGGACAGTCCCCAGAGATGCAGGTCACCAACTCCAGAGCCAGTCTCCCAAATGGTCGAGCAGGACTGATGGGTCCCAGGGCCACTCTCCCTAGCTCCGATGGCTCAGACCACCATTACCATCCAGGAACCTGGGTGATTCTGGAGGTCGAAAGGAAGAAGGTGGACTTCCTCCTGTATACTGGAGTAGCCATTTCTGTTCTCCTCCCCAATCCACGACTCCCCTCCTCCTGATAGGGCATTTCAGGAAAGCCTTTAACCGAATAGTTTTTCCAACCCCTTATTATAGTTGGAGATATGTCTTGTTTCCTCATGCTATTTTGATCATGCCTAAAAGCCCAACTCCTATGCTATGAAGAGATATCTTATGGTAACTACCATTCTTATGGCTCCAAGGCAGATTTATTTGTCTCCCACTGTTGGAGACCAATATTAATCCAGAAGTTTAGGCAACTAAAGGGAAAATTGGTTGAGCCACAACTGCCATACTGGTCCACATCCGCTTAAGGATCCGACCTCTTTCTTTAACTGGAGACAAAATCCCCTAAAACGAGAAAATAGGAAGGGATGGCTACAATCGGAGGATGGCAAACTTTATCTACCAGCTTCTGGGCAATGTAAAGATTTTAAAATCTTTTACCAAGCCTTCCATCTAGGAAAGAATAAAACCTATCAATTGGCCCAATGGTTGTTCTCAGGTAAAAATCTGTTAAAAATGGTCAAACAGGCCATTAATGTTTGTGAGACTTGCCTCAAAAATAATCCCAAATCAACAAATCTTTCTCCCTAGAATCCAAAGAATGGGATGCTACCCAGAGGAGAACTGGCAGATGGATTTCACTCATATGCCAAAGATAAGGGGCATCCTGTACCTCCTGGGATGGGTAAAACCTTCACTAACTGGGTAAAAGCATTTGCATGTCGGACAGAGAAAGCCTATGAGGTAATAAAAGTACTAATTAATGAGATAATTCCTTTCATTGGACTTCCTAAGTACCTCCAATGCAATAATGGCTCCTGGTTCAAGGCAGTTGTCACCCGGGGGTCTCAAAGGCACTAGGCATACAATAACATCGTCATTGTGCTTAGAAACCACAATCCTCAGGAAAAGTAGAAAAGACAGATAATATTATCAAAAGGCACCTCAGAAAACTGTCTCAAGAGACCCATGTCCCCTGGATTACTCTTCTCCCATGGCCCTACTATATTTTAGAAACACCCCTTCAAAGCTAGGTTTAATTCCTTTCCACATGATGTGTGGATGATCTTTTCTCGCCAATGATTTCTTGCTAGACAAAGAAACCTCTGATTTGATTAAACATGTAACTTTTTTGGCCCATTTCCAACAGGAACTGAAACAACTCTCAGAGGCCCAACCTTGTAAACTAGGACTACCTCTATTCAACCCAGGGGACTTAGTACTAATAAAGGCTCTTCATCCTCTTTCTCCTTTCTAGAACTGGATTGGGAGAAAGCTTATACTCTACTTCTCTCTACTCCTTTTGCAGTGAAAGTCACTGGAATATATTTTTGGATTCATTATACTCAAGGGCTTGGGAACTGAGGGAATTACCTCTGTTCACCCAGAAGAGTGACTGAAGCAAAATGCGAAAAAATCAGGAGCCTCAAGCTAGAGATCATAAAAGATAAGTGTGAATAATTAACCTTCCATGGTATCTTCTTTATACTCTTGACTATACATGCTGTCCTTGTCTCTTTTCTGTTTTTCACCATAAGGTGTCTGCCCCATACCAAATTTAATTTCTTTCACAAGAGTGAAACAGCTCTGGCCACAACTTTGTTTTCAGAATGATTAGTATATTTTACTTCTTATTTCTGTTATCTCTGGCACTACCTTTTTCCCTTTTGGCTCCTCTTTGTATAATACCCACATTAGTTACATGCATACTTAACCTCCTGGTAAAATTTGTTTCTGTTTAACTGGGGTCCCTTACATAGGCCTCTAAGAGAGATCTGACTGCTATTTTCCCAAAACAACATCTCCTGTTAGCATGAAGCAGTCAAAGCAGTCATCATTCCTATACTAATGACAGTGAGATATACTCAGAGCAGGGCTTAATAGGGACAGGAGACAGACAGATTTCTAGGCAGACAGGGAAAGGGCCCTGGTGAAATCTGACCATCAAGCCAAGAACAGTTTAAAGCCTGTAAACAGAGCTGCCAGTTCTGGATAGAGTCTACAACTACAGTGAGAACTTCCATCCCCATCTTACCCACTCTCTTTTGATTGGTTCCTCCTGAAGGATGCCTGTTAACCAATCAAATGGTGTTTTTTTTTTTTCAAGCCCACCCTGGGCCTGTCAACATGCACTCCCCATTTGTAAGTTTATAAAAACCCTGGACTCAGCCTCGCAGATGGCTACTCACTTTCAGGTCCCCTTTCGCAGCTGAGAGCTTTCTTTCTGTTGCTCAATAAAATTCTGCCCTGCCTTACTCACTGTCTGGCGTCTGCATACCTTATTCTTCTTGGTCGCAGAACACAAATTTGGAACTTGCTGAATTGTAGGAGTGAAAAACTTGTAATTCTCCTGCTCACCGAGCTGCAGGTGATGGGAGTAAAAGAGCTGTAGCACTTCCTCTTGCTCACCAAAAAACAGGAGGAAAGTAGTCACTGGGCTCCACTTCCTCTCACTTGCTGAACAATGGAAGTGAAAAGGCCACAACAATACTAGCTGTCTTATATGGGCCTGTGGGCCTGTTGTATACGGCTTTTATTGTTTTTAGGTATGTTCCTTCTATACCCAATATTTTTAGTATTTTTAGTTTTTATCATGAAGAGATGTTGAAGTTTATCAAAAGCTTTTTCAGCACTAATTGAAATAATTATATAGTTTTTTCCTTCATTCTATTGCTATGATGTATGACATTATTTGCATATGTTGAACCATACTTGCATCCCTAGGATAAATCCCACTTGATCATCATGAATGACCTTTTCAATGTACTTTGTTAGCATTTTCTTGAGGAATTTTGCATCAATATATTCATCAGAGATATTGTCCTGTAGTTCTCCTTTTTTGAACTATCTTTGTCTAGTGTTGGTAATAGAGTAATTGTGACCTCACAGATTGAGTTTGAATGTCTTCTTTTCTCCTCTACTTGCAGAATAGTTTGAATAGGATTTGTATCAGTTCTTTATATGGTTGGTAGAATTAAACAGTGAAGCTATCAGATCCCAGATTTTTCTTTATTGAGAGGCATTTTAATTACAGTTTTGATCTTGTTACTTGTTATTTGTCTGCTCAGGTTTTTAATTTATTCATGGTTCAATCTTGGTAGGTGAGATGGGTCTAGGAATTATTCCTTTTCTTCTAGATTTTCCAATTTATTGGCATATACTTGCTCATATTATTCACCAATGATCCTTTGAATTTCTTCAGCATCAGTTGTAATGTCTCTTTTTATCATCTCTGATTTTATTTGGATCTTCTTGTTCTTTGCTAGTCTGGCTAAAGGTTTTTCAGTTTTGTTTATCTTTTCAAACAACAAACTACTTTCCTTGATCTTTTGTATTTTTCCTTCATTTTAAATTCACGTATTTATTTCTGCTCTGATCTTCATTATTTATTTTCTTCTACCAATTTGGGGTTTGATCTGCTCTTGCTCTTTAAGATGCATCGTTAGGTTATCTATTTGAGAATTTTTCTTTTTTGTAGACATTTATAGATATAAATTTACTTCTTAGTCTGTTTTCAGTATATCCCATAGGCCTTGGTATGTTTAGTTTCCATTATCATCTATGCCAAAAAATATTTCAATTTTCTGTTTAATTTATTCATTGATCCACTGGTTATTTCAGAGCATATTGTTTAATTTCCATGAGTTTACATAGTTTCCAAAATTCCTCATTATTGATTTCCAGTTTTATTCCATTGTAGTCAGAGAAGATACTTGATTTGACTTTAGTTTTTTTGAATGTTTTAAGACTTGTTTTGTGACCTAAATATGGTGTATCCTCCAGAATAATTCATGTGCTAAGGAGAAGAATATGTATTCTATAGCTGTTGAATGAAATGTTCTGTAAATATCTATTAGGTGCATTTGTTCTGCAGTGCAGATTAAATCTGATATTTCTATATTGATTTTCTGGCTAGAAGATCTGTCCAATGCTGAAAGCGGGCTGTTGAAGTCTCCAGCTATTATTGTATTGAGGTCTGTATTAGTCTGTTCTCATGCTGCTAACAAAGACACACCTGAGATTGGGTAATTTATAAATGAAAGAGGTTTAGTTGAGTCACAGTTCCACATGGCTGAGGAGGCCTCTCAGTTGTGGTGGAAGGCAAAGGGGAAGCAAGACATGTCTTACATGGCAACAGGCAAGAGACAATGAGAGCCGAGTGAAAGGGAAAATCCCTTATAAAACCGTCAGATCTCATGAGACTTATTCACTACCACGAGAACAGTGTGGGGGAAATGCTCCCACGATTCAATTAGCTCCCACCAGGTCCCCCCAACAACATGTGGGAATTATGGAAGCTACAATTCAAGATGACATTTGAGTGGGGATACAGCCAAACCATATCAAGGTCTCTCTTTTTAGTGCTAATAATATTTTATTTATGTATCTGTATGCTCCAGCCCTGGATGTATATGTATTTATAATTGTTATATCCTCTTACTGAATTGACTCCTTTATCATTGTATAATGGACTTTGTCTTTTACAGTTTTTGTCTTGAAATCTACTTTATCTGATATAAGTATAGCTATTCTTGCTCTTTTTTTTTGTTTCCTTTGTCATGGAATATTTTTTTTCTATTCCCATTTTCAGTCTATGTGTATCTTCATAGGTGAATTGTAGGTAACAGATGATTGAGTCTTGTTTTGTTATCATTCAGCCACTCCATGGTTTTTTTGTTTTGTTTTTGTTTTCTTTTTTCTTTCTTTCTTTTTTTTTTTTTTGAAACGAAGTTTTTACTCTTGTTGCCCAGGCTGGAGTGCAATGGCATACTGCAGCCTCTGCCTCCCAGGTTCAAGTGATTCTCCTGCCTCAGCCTCCCAGATAGCTAGAATTACAGGCACCCGCCACCATGCCTGGCCAGTTTTTTTTATTTTTAGTAGAGACAGGATTTTGCCATGTTGGCCAGGCTGGTCTCAAACTCCTGGCCTCAGATGATCTGCCTGCCTCAGCCTCCTAAAGTGCCGCTGGGATTACAGAAGTGAGGCACTGCACCCGGCTCCTTCCATGTTTTTTTACTGGAGAGTTTATTCTATTCATATTCAATGTTATTATTGACTAGTAAGAACTTACCTTCTGCCATTTTGTTATTTGTTTTCAAGTTGTTTTATGTTCTTCCCTTTCTTGCTTTTTGTCTTCCTTTTAGTGAAGGTGTCAACCTGCAATTTTTAAGCTAAAATTAATATTTTATAGTAAAATACCCTTGACATTTTGAAGTTATTCATATCTGTATATAATTTATTACTTTTCTTTTGTTTTTTTAAAGAATGATCCACCATTTCTTAAGTGCCATTTAAAATTTTTTCTTAATATATGGCTTTTGTTTAATTTCCATGTTAGTCTAACTTTGCAAAATGAATTAATAAATAATCCATGTGGATCTCATTTATTTTTAGATTTGGTCTTGTGCTGCCTTTCCATTTTTTTGATCTAATTTTTATTTTGTCTCTTTGTTTAAGCTTATTATTACAAGTTATAACTTAGGAGAAAATAATCCATATGATATATAGTAAACAAGTATTTGAGTACAAGTATTACCCTATAATCTCAAATTTAAAATATACATCTTATAGATTATATATTTATGCATATATATTAAATATTTTTCTTACATTACTAAAGCTATGCATACATTTTTGTGTTGTCAAAGAGCCAATCTAAGATTTAATTAATAACTCTAGTATTTTAGTTGGTTTAAGTTTCTAAATTATCTTTTTATTTTTACAAATTTGTTATTTTTATTTTTTACTTTATTTTGTCTTTTCTCAGATTCATGATATTAAAGTTTTATTTATTAAATTTTTTTCTTTTTTTCCTAAGAAGTATATTTTTAAACACAATATTGTATTTGAGAACTGCTTGGATTATAACCCACAAGGTTTTTTAATTTAATATTCATTGTTTTCTACAATAATGGTCAAATATAGAGGTAGAATAAAATGGTAAATTAAACCCCATATGTGCATGCTACCAAGGTTCAAAATATTTCAATTTTCTTCAATTGATTTAGTTGTCCTTTTTTCTCTAAATAATTTCAAACAAATTTTCCATGGGTCAAGGTATTTTGTTGATATATACTGCAATATTTGTCTTTCATGGTACAGGTATTTTCACATGTAACTATGATGCTATTCTGTTGTAGTATTTCCCTGAATATTTCTGAGTTTCTCCAAATTATTATTTAGAATTTATTTTTTGGATAAGATTTTAACCAAGGTTCACATACTGCATGTAGTTGTGACATGCCCTAAGCCAGGCCAGAACACTTCCTTTTTTTCTTTCTTTTTTATTTGCAAACCTACTTTCTTTTGGAATGCCCCACATTCTGGCTGTTTCTGTTTGTTCTCTTATAAAATCATTTAGCTAATTTCCGTAATCCCTGCATTTGTTGAAAATTGAAGGTACATCTGGAGTTTCCTTATTTTAAAAAATTTGAAATGAACACTTTATAGATATTCACTGAGATTCATATTGTTTTACATAAGGAAACACAAAATATCCTATTGCCTATTTTTAGAGAAGCTAAGATTCAATTGTGGTTCAGAAGACAACAGCTTCTTTTTTCCTTTTTGAAATTTTCCATCAAGGAGTCATTCAAAAATTTCAATTATTACTTATTGTTTCCGAAATAATTATTTCTGAAGAATTGCCAAATGTAGATTTTGAAATATTTTTACTTTCCTTGTATTTTGGCTTTCATGATACATATTTGTTCTTAGCTTTCTTCAAATTTAGTTTTTCTTCTGAAACTAAAAGAATATGTTTTTCTAATTGTTTGCTAATATTTGTCAGTTTTCACTTTACGTCCTCCTGCTGTCTGGCTAAAAAGATTAAAATTTGTTTGCATTCTAATCAGTGTTTTTACAAAGCTTGGTATTTCTCTATAGAACTTTAAATCATCTTTTTACTCTTTTAATTTGCTTGGTGGACACATTCTTCTGATATGCATCATTTTCTATTGAATTTTAGGTATATTTTATTTTTTGTCTTAAATAAAGTTTTTGGGTTTAATTGTAATCAATTTTTGTTTCTAATGTCTAAATGAGACAAGTGTCCTAAATTATGAAGAAAAGTTTTATCCCAACTATTTTGTATTTTCATATATATGTATATATTATATATTTTATATATATTATATATTTCATGTATATATTATATATATATATATAGAGTTCTTGGTATTCTGAACACCATGGTTCAACTTCTGCTCAATTTCTTTATTTATTTGAGGATTGTGAAGAAGCTGGCTAAATCTTTTTTTTTTCTTTCATAAGGGGAGACATATGATTCACTGCTTGTCTTGGTATTGTCATATCTCTAATATGATTCTCTATGATGCTCAGTCTTCAGGATGTTTTCTCACCAAAAACTCTTCTCAAGGAAATTCATTTATCTTACTATTTTATTTCTCCTTCACTTCTGTCCTATAAATAAGATAATTATTTTCACTGAAGTCAAGAATACAGACTTAAGAAGTACTGTAGATTTATAGATTTAAGTGTGTATTTTATACCTGTCACACCTTTGCCCTATGAAACCCAAAAATCTTTCCTTTTTTGTTATGTATCATCAATTTCTTTATTTTTCACAAGTTTTTCAGTAGAAAAGACCTCTATACATAAAGTTAAGGACTGATGATATCTAATGTTTATTTAACACAATGTTTTGCTAATACTGTTCCTTAAAACCACATATGTCAAAAATGTTTGGATGCATTTGAATCTATTAGTCTAATGATTAGAGTGCTTTTTCTTAACTTTCTATTTCCAAGTTAATGGGTATAAAGTATAATATCTTGTTTATCAAGCATGGTAGTGTTGCCTTTTTATTAAGTCAATTATAATCTCAGGAACTTAAAATCGATTTCAATGATTCTGCTATATTTCCATTTGTGTCTGAACTTGAGGTAATGTAAATTGCAGAGCTGTGTTCGTCTGCTGAGGAAGAGAGAAAGCCAGTCTACAGGGATAAGAATGAAACAGACATACAAAGTGCTGCAGAGATGAGAGGTCATGTGGCTCCAGGGGGAGAGGGAAAGACTGATGATTTGGAAGCTTTGATCCTTGATAGATTTCTGTATCCCGTTTCTCAGCCCTCAGGAGGCCTAAATGTACTGTCTGCCCTTGTGTTACATAAAATACTGTTGCATCCTTTACTTACATCGTTTTAATAAATTTATCTTCTTTTCTGTTCTTTTATTCTATTTTGTTTTTGCTCAAGGCATTTTCAATTCAGTTCTTTAATGAGCCAAGAATTAACCTTGACTAACATGAATATTATTTGCAGCTTATATTGTAGAGTGATGAATTTAAGAAATTGTGTGTCACTTACTATACAATTACGAGAAGTAAATGATAACACACAAAATAGTTTTCAGTTGTATTTTTCTTATCCTTGCTATCTCAACTTCACTTTTAGTTCTACTTGTTTAATCGTATTTCTAATTCCTACTGCGTCAAATTGATTAGACTATCAACGATTCCTGAAGTAATTTACTACTGATGGCGTGGAAATCTCTCACTGTTGAAAGAAAAGGGGAAAAAAAAGAGGGTGAATATTCTGAGTCAAATAGTTGTTATGGTGGCATCTTTATACTGCCAGCATGTGTTTTAATATTTTAATCACTTTTGCTATTTGAATAAATTAAAATGGAAATACTGCTTCTAAAAGCAACAAGGTGCTTTTACTTTCATTTAAAGGTATACAATTCCATTCTTTATAGGAAAGCACTGATCATACATTCAAAAGAAAACTGTGTGAAGATTTATTACAATTACATGATATAAATCTGATTTACATAATTTTTACAGACTATATTATATTATAATTACATAATATAAATCTTAGTTGAATTATTGTCATTATTATGCCAGTTTTATAATATAATTTTGTAAACCAGGTAATAAAATATCTGGCTTATAGCACATATTTGGTAACTGATTATATTTAACATTAACCTGGAGAAGATAAATGTATAATGTATACATTAATGCCGCGGTTTGCCACAGTTACTATGGGACTGAACAAATGAGGACAAACGCAGAAATGAAAACTTAAAACAAAAGTAAGTATTTTAAAGGAAGGGTAACATGGGGAAGAAGAGGTCTCCCTTCTTCTAATGAGCAAAGGCAGCCCCCTGGCCTCTACAGCCCTTCGTATTTATTGGGTAGAAAGAGCAAGGAGCAGGAGGTAACGATTGGTCAGCTGCTTAATTGATCACAGGTTCACATTATTGAGAACAGGCTTCAGATGTGCCTAATTACAAGAAACACTTGCGCCTGGGGTGTGGCTGCCCTCAGCATTCCTTCTGGGTGGCAGACGCAGTTTGTCAGTTTGCCAACAATCTCCTTTCGTGAGAACAGTTTGCTATTTACTCATGTAGCCTCCAGTGGCATACTGAGTTGATCACGACCCTCACTCTTTCATCCTGCAGCACTTAATAATAGTCATTCTTTCTTTAGGTACACTGTCTCATGTGAGTTACTAAATACAGGGTATTAAGAAAAAGTATAAGCAGGTGTCTCAAAACAACATTTAGAAGATGGGAAATTATTTTAAAGTGATTCTAAAGCTTTGAATACTTTGGTGGGTAATACGCATTAAAGTTTGAAGAACTATCTTCTCAGTTGAGCTTAGGGCTTTTTTGGTGTCTCCTGGAAGACCAGTTCCCTTCATGGTTTCACTATTTCCTCGCTTTAAACAAATTTGTATTCCTTTTATATCATTCTAAGATGTTCTATTTAATTAAAATGCTTGATTGCATACTACTTAGTGAGTCAACTTATATGAGATAATATGTTTTTATTTTTTAATGTTTGACCAATAACATGACTTTAATATTTAAACATTTCAGGTTAATACAAGCTGAAATAGGAGCTATTTTTGAGTTAATGCAGATGCTCCTGAACTCACATTCTACAAATAAACCTGTCTGTTTACTAAAGTATTTTAGGCTCATTAAGAGATTCTTTGGTTTTTTGAGGAATCTCCACAGTTTTCCATAATGAATGTACTAATTTACATCCCCACCAGCAGTGTACAAGGATTCTCCTTTCCTCCACATCTTCATCAAAGTTTGTTATCTTTCTTCTTTTTTGTAATAGTTATTCTAACAAGTGTGAGGTACACCTCAATATAATATTAACCTAAGTTTCTGAAGAATCAGGGAGATTAGTTCTAAGTTGATTTGTTATAGGTTTCCAACTACTTTAATCACAGTGTATGTGAGTACAAAACTGTATATGCACGGGATATTTTGCAGTATAGAATGTGTGCCTTTTTACCTCCCTTGTATAGTAAGAATAAAATTTTCTCCTAATAGTCAAAATCCATCACAAAGACAACATAGTGAAATATTTTTTGCTTGTTGATATGTTGCTATAGAAAGCCCAGCATGTCTATGTGCCAGTCTCAACTTCCAGTTCAGCAAAATCTGTTATATCCTCTGGTGGAAGCATTCCTCACTTTGGAACTAAGACCTTTAGATCAGTAGAGATTAAAATTCTGGGGACAAGATGCCAACATTTTGCTAGTAGATAATTAAGAAAGATAGTGAGTAGAACCATTCTTGTCTCAACCTCTTAATTGCCACACCAATAAATCCTGGTTATGGGTAAAACAAGGCAATATATTCATCGCTAATTGAGAACACTTACTGTGCCCCAGAAGACATTTGCCTGCACGTATAAGTCTAAGTCTTCAAAAGGTTATCTGCTATCCTATCAAGTCATTGCTTCAGAATACCAGAGAATATGACAAAAACCAGTACGTTTCATGAGAGTGGGCCTTTGGGCTCATTATACAGCATATATTTAATATGCTGTATAATGTCTTTCTGTATAGTGCCTTGATCACACATGATGGTATTTGTAATACCAGATTGGTACAAAAGTAATCGTGGTTATTGCCATTAAAATGTAATGGCAATTACTTTTGATGGCAAAAACCAAAAATGGCAAAATTTGCCATTACTTTTAATGGCAAAAACCACATTTACTTTCACACCAATCTAATATCATGATAATGGATAAAGCAATATGTGAGTTCATGGATTGTGGGAGAAGCATTGCAGACAGAAGAGACAAATTTAAACTTATACCTAGAGTGCATACCTATTACACTACAAACAAAACTCTACTTCTTCCATGTTGGAAGGTCTAATTTCTGCCATACTGAGGAATAATTCTTGATTCCTGAGGTTGGCAGATTTGACACTCAGCAGTGGTGAGAACCAGGTCACCTTTAGTGAGTGGAAGTCCATGTGGATTAACCTCTATTCTTATCATCATGGCCACTTTATTCAGAACAGTGAGCCATAACATACATTCCTGGGAAAAGTGTCTGCCTAGCATTCACAAAATTGTCATTCTTTTCACTTTATTTTAAAAATTCTTTTCTAGCAGAGTAATTCTTCAGTGAGTATTGGTATAGGATATAAATATCTTTATATACTGTTTCTATCAGGCAGATCTGTCCAAATACTTTTGTTGCCAATTTTCCGATTGTGTATTTTTTCAGATCTTTGACAAAACAGACAGGCCATTAGCTACATTTCCCTGTTGGTGGCGATTTGGTTATTTTCATTTCAGAGTTCATTTTGAATGGTTTTTATGAGCATTATTGCATAAGACTTTGTGTTCAATTATTATCAGTAAATATTTACAAGTGTAATTGCTGGATCATTCAGTACTGTAAGTGTAGCTTTATAAAATATTATCATGCAATTCTCCAAAGTAGTTGAAGAGTCATTTAAGAAATTTTGAGTTTTGCTACATTCTCACCAATATGTGTCATGCCAGCTTTTTAAGATTTCAGACATTCTAGTGAGTTTAATTGGTATCTCATGGAGGTATTAATTTGCATGTCTTCATTATTAATGACATTCAGTACTTCCTGTACAGTCATTAGCCAGTCTTATATCCTCTTTTATAGGTGGTTCGTTGATGTGCTCAATAGGAAATCTCAGTCCCTCTCCAGGTGTAGCCCTCCACAGAAATGCTTGAGCATCCTTATAATATTGCTGTGGAATTTCCCTAAAACAATTAGAAAGAGAGAGGAAGACAGAGGAGGGCAGAGGGAGGGAGGGAGGGAGAGAGAGAGAGAGACAAAGAGACTGAGAGTATAAGCTTGTACCTATCCCTTTTGTTTATTTTATCTTATTTCCAAATTTTAAGTTCAGGAGTACATTGCAGGATGTACAGGTTTGTTAAATAGGTAAACATGTTCCACAGTAGTTTGCTGCACAGATCATTCCATCACCTTGGTATTAAGCTCAGGTTGTTAACTTGAGATCTTTCTAGATTACTGATGTGAGTATTTGGTGCTATAAACTGTCCTCTTAACACTGCTTTAGCTGCATCCCAGAGGCTCTGGTACATTGTATATTTGTTCTCATTAGTTTCAAAGAACTTCAGGATGACTGTCTTAATTTTATTATTTACCCAAAAGTCATTTAAGAGCAGGATGTTCAATTTGCATATAGTTGTGTGGCTTTGAGTGAATTTCTTAATCTTGAGTTCTAATTTGATTGTGCTCTGGTCTGAGAGGCTGTTTGTTGTGATTTCAGTTCTCTTGCATTTGCTAAGAAGTGTTTTACTTTTGATTATGTGATCAGTTTTAGAGTAAGAACTGTGTGGCAATGAGAAGAATGTATATTTTGTTGTTTTTGGGTGGAGAGTTCTGTAGATATCTATCAGGTCCACTTAATCCAGAGCTAAGTTCAGGTCCTGAATATCTTTGTTAATTTTCTGTCTCAATTACCTGTCCAATATTGTCAGTGGGGTGTTAAAATCTCCCACTATTATTGTGTGGGAGTCTAAGTCTCTTTGAAGGTCTTTAAGAAATTGCTTTATGAATCTGAGTGCTTCTGTTTGGGGTGCATATATATTTAGGATAGTTAGCTCTTCTCGTTGAATTGAACCCTTTACCATTATGTAATGCCCTTCTTTGTCCTTTTTGATCTTCGTTTGTTTAATGTTTGCTTTGTCAGAAACTAGGATTGCAACCCTGCTTTTTTTTGTTTTCCATTTGCTTGGTAAATTTTCCTCTACCCCTTTATTTTGAGCTGGTGTGGCTTTCCATTCTGTGTCTTTTAACTGAGACATGTATACCATTTACATTTAAGGTTAATATTGTTATGTGTGGGTTTGATCCAGTCATCATGATGTTAGCTCGTTATTTTGCAGACTTGTTTATGTGGTTGCTTTTTAGTATAACTTGTCTGTGTAGTTCAGTGTGTGTTAGTAGTGGCTGGTAAGGTTTTCCCTTTTCATATTTAGTGCTTCCTTTAGGAGCTCTTGTAAGGCAGGTCTGGTGGTAACAAATTCTTTCAGCATTTACTTCTCTGAAAATAATCTTATTTCTCTTTTGCTTATAAAGCTTAGTTGGGCCAGATATGAAATTCTGGGTTAGAAATTCTTTGTTTTAAGAATCTCTTCTGGTTTGTACAGTTTCCACTGGGAGGTCTGCTGTTAGTCTGTTACACTTCCCTTTGTAGATGGCCTGGCCTGACCTTTTGCTCTGGTGGCACTTAACATTTTTTTTTTTTCATTTTGACCTTGGAGAATCTGATGATTATGGGTCTTGGGGATGATCTTCTCATGGAGTATCTTACTGGGGCTTCTGAGTTTCCTGAATTTGAATGTTGGCCTGTCTTGTTATGTTGAGAATGTTCTCCTGGATGATATCCTGAAGTATGTTTTCCAAGTTGGTTCTATTCTCCCTATCCCTTTCAGGTATCCCAATCAGTTGTAGATTTGGTCTCTTTACATAATCCCATATTTCTCAGAGGTTTTGTTCATCCCTTTTCATTCTTTCTTCTCTATTCTTGTCTGCCTGTCCTATTTTAGAAAGACAGTCTTCAAGCTCTGAGATTCTTTCCTTCGCTCTCTCTATTCTGCTATTAATACTAGTGATTGCACTGTGAAGTTCTTGTAGTGTGTTTTTCACCTCTATCAGGTCTGTTATGTCCCTCTCTAAACTGGCAATTTTGTCTGTGAGCTCCTGCATTGTTTTATCATGATTCTCAGTTTCTTTGCATTGTGTTACAACATGCTTCTTTGGCTCAGGGAAGTTTGTTTTTAATCCACATTCTGAAACCTATTTTTGTCATTTCAGCCATCTCAGCCTAAGCCTAGTTCTGAGCCCTTGCTGGGAGGTGTTGTGGTCATTTGGAGGAAAAGGGGCACTCTTGCTTTTTGAGCTTTTCAGTATTGTGTAAGTATTAATATTTGTTTTTATTGATCTTATCTTCCATTAAGGAATTTTTTTCTATCTTAAAATGTGTATTTATTTTAATATAAAAGAACTTGTTTAGTAATTTTTATAAAATAAAAATATACTATATATAAAATATATACTATTCAGTAAAACTAAAATGATTAATTTGTTAAAGGGGAACACTTATTTATTTTTTTAAAGGGGGAAATTAGACAAATACCTGTTTTTCCTATAGAGTCAAATATAGCTATAATTTGAGAAAGTTGATTTATTTTCAGATAATTTAAAATCAATAAAGTTTTTGCCATATTTTTCACTTTTGAAAAGGCATTAACCTAACTTTTTATGTGAAAAAAGATTTCATATTATGTTACAGCAAACTTTTGTGCATCAAATAACACCAGCAAAAAGAGAAAATGTAAGCAATAAAATGGAAGAAAATGTTTGCAAATTGTTTATATAATAAAAACCTAGTATCTAGAACATATATATAACTCATATAATTTAACAATAGAATGGCTAATAACCCAATTGAAAATGGACAAAATAATAGAACTTTCTCCAAAGATGATGTACAAATGGCCAATTAGCACATGAAAAGGTGATCAATATTATTAGTTATTTTGAAAATGCTAGTCAAAACCACAGTAGAATAATTTTAATAGTCACTCTGGTTTTTAAAATATATCACAAAATCAAAATAAAAGGAAATAAATTAGTAGTTCAATAATATGGATTCCACTATTTACATTTGCATCCTGACTAACTTAGAAGATATGACAAAGTCATTCTGTACTTACATCTACATGTAGAATAACTGGAAAATCATTGCATTGGTAAATGATATATTTCAATCTCACAAACAGCATTATTAAGATAACACATTTTATTGACATGATAAAAAATTAGTCTAATTTTGAACAAAACAAACTGCCTTATTCCTACAACTGACATAGTAGTTGCATTTGTAGAATTTGTTATAAATATTAAACTCTTGCAAAAATAATTTTGCTATAGAGATTTAAATGTTGTTTAGAAAAATATAAGCTGTTTTTTTAGTCTACATGCATATGCAACAGAAGATTTCATTATTCTTCCAGGTTAGGGAAAACACTTCATTTCTTTGGAGTGATGTGTACATTGCAAATCACAGTAACATCCCTGACACTCTATATCAGTCAACCACTACAGGCAATTAGCATTTCTAAAGAATAAGGTAGAATACAACAATGTTTTCTGAAATATCTCCTTTTTCAGTGATTGGATGCTTTAACGAAACAGCTTTACACACACTTCTGTGGAAATTACAGCCATGTATTTCTCTTATATAATGCCTTCTGTCTCTGTTACAAAGTATTTTTAAAACTTTGACTGATTTTTATTTATTTATTTAGAGAAAGAATCTCACTCTGTCACCCAGGCTGGAGTGCAGTGTATGAACATGGCTTACTGCAGTCTTGACCTCGTGGGCTTAAGTGAGCTTCCCTCCCCAGCCGTCCAAGTAGCTGGGACTGCAGGTGTGCACCACCATGCCTGGATAATTTTTTCTATTTTTTTTCTAGAGATAGGATCTCTCTGTGTTTCCCAGGCTGGTCTCAAACGCTTGGGCTCAGGTGATCCTCTTTTGAAGGCTCAGCCTCCCCAAATGCTGGGATTACAGTTGTGAGTCATGGCACCCAGCTTATAAATTATTTTTTAAATGGTGACAGGCACCTACAATCATCTTCAAAATGACATGTTGAAGAATCTGGGCATAAGCTGAGGAGTTACTGAAAAACTTGTTGGTAGGTCATTTAGTAAACCCAGTCAATCATCAAGACCTATTGATTCTATTTCTAAATTCTAATGACTTATTTCTGACCCCTCATAGAGATCCTGTGATCATCCAGTCCTTATTTTTCCTCTCTTTCCATCAGTTCTCCTCACACATTCGCCTCCTGTTCATTTGGTGCTGAACACCATGCTGCTTCCCGCTCTGCTCTGTTGCATCTGTTATCATTTGATGATACTATGCTATCTTCCTAGGGCACTTCTCCTTCAGTTCTCAACTCAAACATGATAACACAAATACCCCTTTCAAATATCCAGTCAAAGAGCAGTTACTTTCCTTTCTTTATGAAAGCACTAGCCTTTAAAGTCTTCTGTGAATATCTCTACATATGACTGCTCATTGACCTCTTGCTTATCAGTGTGGAAGTACTTATTATACTGTACAGTAATGCACTTATTATCTAATCCTATGCTTCACTAACTTCAGAGTAATGCACCTGTTACTCGATTGCTTGCTTCACTAGACCATAAGCTTCTTAAGGACAGCACTTCAAAACACGACATATCACAAGAGCTCAATAAACTGTTACGTGAATACTCAAATTCTTGTTTTATAACTCCTGGGACAGAGTTCCTCCAAAGGTTTATAAAGAAACTAATGTTAGTGTATAATTTAAGCAGAAGGATGAAGAAATTGTGTGTAAAAAAGCTAGTTATGTTTTAATATATTGTGATTCCAATTTTTTAAATGTATTTTTATTTTGCAACCAAATATTGGTGGCCAATGGCAGTCTCAGTTACAGACAAAGCAATTATACAGCATTAAAACTGTATCTGAGTATACACTGAAGCATGTGTACCGCCAGCAGAGAATAAATAATACTGTCACAACAAATTGCTTGAACATAGAAACTACAGAGAGGTCGTTCAGATCACAAAACTCATTGATCTCCTTTGGCATTTCGCACAACTGGGAATAATGTGCAAGGACTTTGGTGTTGTCTATGTTCAGTGTTCTGTCTGAATTTCAAAGACAATCTTTTGGACGTGATAACAATCCTAAAGGTGTTATGTACTACTTGGTAATCAAAATGGCATTTTCATTACTATCGGTGAGCTTTTAAATATCTCCTTTGGGATTCTCCAAAGAGAATCAATTTCATTTGAACAAAACACTTTTGAGTACAGATAACATACATGAAGGCATGCCTTCAAAACATTTGTAAAAAATAATCGGTGAGAGTAGTGTCAAATAAAATCCTTAAGTTGACTATAAACACTTTAAAACCACATTTTCTTAAGGTGAGATCTTGACACAAGTTCATTTGTATCAGTCAGATTTATAATTGCCAAATATTGCAGATAGACAAAATCGTAATTTAATAAATGTATATTGACATTCCTAAGTTAATAAATGTATAATGACATGCCTAAGTTAAAGTATTTATGTTTATCAAGGAGAAAGCCTATATACTAAAATCTACAGCTTATAAACTTACTTTTATCTGTTTATTAGAATATAAATTAAATCACATGTTAATATGTGTCATATCTTCTTTAGAATACCTTTAAGGAATTAAACATTGCAAATGTCATTCAAACCCACATATTCCCCTCTTTAATTCTGTTTCCCTTGTTCCTTTTCCCCCAAACAATGACTGTGTGGTTTTTTTTACAGTAACCCTCAGAAGTATTTTTAAATGATTACTAAATGTATTTGAATCCGTAAACAACTATAAAAAGTATTGTATTTTTAAACTATTTTGGAAATTATATCAGTCTATATTCCCGTCTTTTAGTTAAACTGTTTTTGTGATATGTTCCTGTTTATACATTTGATTCTAATTTCATTTTAATAGTTACAGAGTATTCATTTTACATCTATAACTCAACTTATGTCAGCATTTTTTATTTATGGATGAATACCTATTTGTTTCATTTTTCTAAATGTCTTCCATTAAAAAATGTTTCAGTAAATGTTATCGTACATATTTCCTCATATACGTATGCACAGATTTTACTAAGGCACATAGATAGAAGTAGCATTGTGAAGTTCTAGACTTTGTACATTTTCAAATGTTATCTACTGTAAAATTTCTCTGTAAAATGATTGTGACAATTTGCATGTATTCTAGCAATGCAAAAAAATTCCTATTTTTGCAATATTTGTTAAGATTTTGCATTATCAATTTTTTGATGTTGCTACTAAGCAATCAAATTGTACACCACAAAAATTTTAAACATTTTTAATTATAGAGTTTATTAAAGTACATCAAATATACATAAAAGCATACCCAGTATAATGCACAGCTTGATTTATTTTCATTAAAAACACAGAATTGTAGCCAGCATCTCAAATAGAGAACATTGCTACATTGCTTGGTCCCCAGAAGCCCCTATGTTCATCTCTCTAATCATGTCTCTTTCCAAAAGAAATGGATATTCTAACTTCTAACATCAGGTTACTTTTGCCTACTTCAGAATGATATATTATTGAAACAAAGCAATCTGTACTTTATTTTGTCTGTGGCTTCTTTTGTTTAACATCATGGTTGTGAGTCTCTTCCATATTGTTGCACGTGGTTACATTTATTCACACTCATATTTTACTGAATGGCTAAGGGTTTATTTATATGTTATACTATGGTAGATATGTAAGTGATTTACTGATGCACAGCAAACACCCAAAGCTTAGTGCTTTAAAATAACACCTATTTTATTATCTTTCACAATATCTGCATACACTCACCTGAGCTGAGTCTTCTGCCTCACAGGTTGTGGACAGAGCATACCAAGAGAATGTTTTTCAAATTAAAATTAAAAGATACTTTCTATCACCTTAAGGAAGTCTAGGATCAGAAGAAGTCTCTGAATATCACTTCTGCCACTATCTCTTTATCAAATTGTCACAGGAAGATTCCAAATCTAGGGGGATGCTCAAGAAGGGAGGAATTTGGGGTAACTAATTTTTTTAAAAATACCACAGTTCACCATGTCATCACAATAATTCATTTTCATTTGCAAAATTACACACTCTCCTTTCCTCTCTTCCAATTATGTCCTTATTTAGAAGTTCAAAATTCCATCATTTAAATCAGGTTGAGGTATATAGATGAACTCATTGGGTTTAGCATCTCAGGTTCATTTCCTTGAACTCACAGATACGAAGCATAATGTTGAGAAAGAAACAGAACAACTGTAACAAATATCTGCATTCAAAGGGTTGGGAGTAGGTGATACAGTATTTCATAACAATTCTAATATTCAGACGTATATTTCACCAACACTTCTGCTTCCTGATAGTGGTTTTTCTCTCTTTTGTCTCTGCCCTCTGAGTCATTCTTCCTTTTCCATGGGAATGCTCCATTTTTACCATTGACTGTCTTTCCTGACTCCACTAATTGCCTGTGAGAAGTTAGGTATTGAGAAGCCCCATTTAATTTTAATTGCCTCTGTTTCTTAGCAGATATAATTTATTCAAAAATTGTATAAATTTTAAATGCATCAAATTATTATCTATTCAGTTTGCCAAAATCTGCACTCATTTAACTCTTCAGGATAGGCTCAGCCTTGTATAAAAAAGTGGAGATCGAAGTTTATGTAGGAAATCCCTCCAAAATTTTTACAAGATTTTATTTCTAACAAGAAGGTAAAAAAGGCGTGCCCTAAGATTCTTTTATTCTTTTTGTTTTGTTTTGACCAAAAGTATCTATCAAGTAATGCCTTAAATCTTGATGAGATATTTAAAAAGAAAAAAAGGCCATGGCATCTTGAAACTTAGACCACTTTTTAACAGGCAGCACTCTCATTTTCATCTTTTTCTTAAAGATTCTTAAAGATACATCTAATGCATGGATGTCCATATCTGTGTATATGAATAGGTAGATGCATTCTCATTCCACTTTAGCCATAAAATGTTTGTGAATGTCATAAATGCATTTTGAAAATAATAACTAACATACAAATATTTTCAGCATGTGACACTACATTATGACATTACTATCTATAAATATCTGTGAAATAAAGATAAATACCTTCATGGATTTTGATAGTCCTCAAATTTGGTTGTGTATTTTGGATGACTATTGCCACAGAAGAATAAATATGTTCCTTGCATTGTTGAAAAATTGGCTTTATTATTAAACATATCCATTCCAAAATGAAGTCATAAAGTGGTGAATGATTTAGAAGATTTTATTGGTAAAATCCTGAATTTTGTAGATATAAAAACTTCCAAGATAAACCAAATATCGAGTGGTCAAGAACATAGTGAAATATTTCGGAAATGAACCAAAGTTTTCTGACTCATTGTATAGTGAGTGCTTTATCAAACACCACATATTTTCTCCCTGCACAGGTCAGGGCCAATTCCTAGTTCATCCTCCCACCTTGGCTTTCAAAGTGTCTATTAACCTTACATTCCCCATTCCAATCTTTATTGTTTGTAAGTCTCCCATAAATGTTACTTTGACTTTCCCTGACCTTTCTCAGGATGATATACATTCTATTGACTGAGGTTTTCATCTTGGGTTTCAACTCGCTATGTAGACGAACAATGTAACTTTTTTGGAATTCTGTTTGGTCAGCTATAAAATGAAGATAATAAATTATTTATAATAAAAAATAAATATTTATTCCAGGGTTGTGAGGACAAAATGACGTAATATATTAGGAAATGCTCAGTAAATTATAAACAAAAACAGTTATGAGGTATTGTGATCTTTCCTTTGTTCTGAAAAGTCATAGATGCATTCTCATTCCACTTTAGCCATAAAATGTTTGTGAATGTCATAAATGCGCTTTGAAAAAATAACAAAAACTTAATTTATTCAATGATGAAAAACATTAACAATGAAAACACTGACTTATGAGGGCTTTCTTACAAATACTACATTACCTAAAAAAACTTTTAAAATTACTTTATAGATATTTAATTCATATAAATTGAATATTACTTGTACTCACAAATGGCAACAGTGATTTCTCATCAAATCACTCAAGATCATGGCAATGGTGCGCTCCAAATAAGCAATACTTGAATTTGTTAGTAATTCAAAGACTCTTTTTTATCAGTCTTTAATATTAAATACACAAAGGATAAAAATATGTGTTCAAAGGAACACATTCTCTGCCTGTCTTTAATAAATTAAACGAAGTTATATTTAAAATATGTAAAAAAGTAAAATAAATATATTATTTCAAGCTATACCACTGGAACTTCGTATCTGCTAATATGTATGTCTCAAAGAAAGAGTTTGGTGATTCTAGATACATCGAAAGGAGAGAAGATAGGAGATATATTTTTAATTTTTATAATTTATAGATGTTAAATAATTATTTATTTTAAAGTAATATATATACTTACTGAAAACCATGAAATATACAAATGTGAAATCAGATAAAATGAAAACATAAATACAAAAGATAAAGCAAATGGAAATTGTGGAGTACAGCAATGTATGAACTTAAAATAGAATGAAATGTTTAACATGTACTCCCAAAGCAAAAGCATCATGTAAAAAGAGACAGAGAGAAACAGAGAGAGAGAATGAGAGAAAGAGAGAAATATTAAAATATACCAATGCATTTTTACTTAATGAAGAGATAGTTATGAAAATAACCATTGAATAGGGACCCGGGGAAGACAGCTGTAGCAGCTAAACGTGACACAGGATGATAACTAGAAAAGCAAAGAATGTCTGTAAATAAACAAGAAAAAGAAAATCAGTAGAATAAAAATGTTGTGCATGAAAACATTACAAAATTGAACAGCTAATATACGCCAGAAGAAATGGTTAGCTTCATTTGAAATCAGAGAAATGCAAACTAAAACAATTATGTTCCACATTACGTAGGAAAATTTTAGAAAGTTGTTTCTAAAAGCATTGATGTAAATGTGAGGAAATGGCATTTTTTGCACTACTGTTTGTGTGGAAATGTATTCAAATATTCAGAAGGGCAGGGTAGTAGAGCTTAGGGTAATTAAATGTTTATGTCTTATGATGTAGCATTTTATTTATGGGACCTATGTTTTCTAGTTAGCCATGTCTCAAAATAAATAAATAAATGTCCTAGAATTTAAACACGTGAAGCAGTGACAACAGTGGAGAATTGTGAAGGGTTGGGAGGCCCAGGCGGGCAGATCACAAGGTCAGGAGATTGAGACCATCCTGGCCAACATGGTTAAACCCCGTCTCTACTAAAATACAAAAAATTAGCCGAGCATGGTGGCGCGCCTGTAGTCCCAGCTACTCGGGAAGCTGAGGCAGGGGAATTGCTTGAACCCGGGAGGCAGAGGTTGCAGTGAGCCGAGATCTCGCCACTACACTCCAGCCTGGCAACAAGAAGACTAAAAAAAAAAAGTAAAATAAAAGTACTGGAGTAGCGCAAAGGCTGGGGACTGGAATTAGCTGAAGACTTACTCTCCCACATGGCTATCAGTTGCTGCTGGCTATCTACTGAGAAACTATCTGAGTTGTAAGCTGGAGCACCTACATGTGGTCTCTCCATGTGACCTGAACTTTCTCACAGGGCTGGCTACATCCTAAGAGTATCTCAAAAGGGAGAGCAAAGTGGAAGCAGCATTATCTTTGTAACCTAGCCTCACAAGTCAAGCTATATTATTCTACCACATCCAATTGATTAGAAGCAAGTCACAACTGATTCCTAAAAATATAAGCAAGAATACCTATAAACATGTGCATTTTAATGTATTTTTATTGGACTGGAAGCACTCTGCAACTTATTTTTAGTGTGAAAACATGCCATGGATATCCATACAAATACTGTAGATAGATTTTATAAAATTATTAACCAATGTCTAGAATTAAGCAAGCAATTTTCAATTTTTGCCAAACAGCTGATTATAAAAATACTTATTTTTAATTTAAGTTACATTTCCTTTAAAATATGAGTTTAAAAATGTAAACAGCTTTTAAAAGGGCTTTTAGTCACTTGAATTTATTATTGTGTAAAATTATCTTTAAGAAATGTGTGGATTGAATAAAAAAAAGTGGTACATATACACCATAGAATATTATGCAGCCATGAAAAAGGATAAAATCATTTGCTTTGTGCAACATGGATGCAGGTGGAGGCATTACCCTCCTTCTACAAACTAACAGGGAAACAGAAAACCAAATACTGCATAGTCTCACTTATAAGTGGGAGCTGAGCATTGGGTACACATGGACATAAAGATGGAAAGAATAGACAATGGGGACTACTAGAGCGGGGAGAAAGGGAGGTTAGCAAGGGCTGAAAACCTGCCTATTGAATACTGTGCTCCCTATCTGAGTGATGGAATCATTTGTGCCTCAAACCTCAGCATCACACAATATAGCCATAGGACAAACCTGCACGTATATCCTCTGAGTCTAAAATAAAAGTTGAAATTGTAAACAAATACATAAAATACTGTAAAAACTTGGATTTTTTTTGTTTATTCATAGTGGAAATATCATTGCTAACAATGTTGACCATTTTGTGTCAATCATAACACTTTTTTTTTCCTAAATCTATCTTTTACCTGTCCTTTATAATAATTTTGTATCTGGCTGAGATATGTTGACAATTTTACATGCTTAAATACATGCTTTTGTTTTAATAGATTCTTGACATTCACTACTTACAAGAAAAGCATTCCCTACTTTCAGAATATGAACACAATGATCAATTACTTATTTTACATGTTTTTTATATTTAATTTTTTTTACATCTGGAATTTGATTTGTTTATCTCACTTTATGTACTTCCAAAACCCAGCTGTGCTAAATTTTAACAATGAACATGAAAATTGTGTTGCTTGAAAAAAACTGCCAGATATTAATGTAAATATTTAATATTTGTTATATTAATATATATTTCAAAATATAAATTCAGGATGTCTTAGTTTGCTGTTCTTTTTCATAAATGTATTATTTTTATTTTCACTTAGTGTGTGTTTATAACAAGCAACTTGGAACCACCCATAACTATTCTTAATTTGTATTTGAAGATACATTTAATATCCAGTATAGAGGATTATTATATTATGCTATTTTGAAGCTTGTTAACCACACAGGGACGTGAAACTTAGAATCCCTTTCAAATAAAGACTGCACTACTAATCCACTAGGGGTATAGGCAGATTACACTCCAGCTGTTAGATTTGTCAGGTCCTGTCTCAGTTTTTAAACCAGGTTCCCCTCTCTTGCCTGTTTTCTTTTTTATTTATTTCTTTTATAAAATTATTAACCAATGTCTAGAATTAAGCAAGCAATTTTCACTTTTTGCCGAAGAGCTGATTATAAAAATACTTATTTTTAATTTAAGTTACATTTCCTTTAAAATATTAGTTAAAAAATTCAAACAGTTTTTAAAAGGGCTTTTCTCTTTCTTTCTTTCTTTGTTTCTTTCTTTCTTTCTTTCTCTTTCTTTCTCTCTCTTTCTTTTTTCTTTCTTTCTTTCTTCCTCTCTTTCTTTTTCTTTTTCTTTTTCTTTTTTTTTTTTGAGACAGAGTCTCGCTCTGTTGCCCAGGCTGGAATGCAATGGCGCAATCTCGGCTCACTGCAACCTCCGCCACCCGGTTCAAGCAATTCTCCCACCTCAGTCTCCTGAGTAGCTGGGACTATAGGCATGCTCCACTATGCACAGCTAATGTTTGTATTTCTAGTAGAGACAGGGTTTCGCCATGTAGGCCAGGCTGGTCTCAAACTCCTGACCTCAGGTGATCCACTCACCTCGGCCTCCCAAAGTGCTGGGATTACAGGTGTGAGCCACCGTGCCCAGCCACCTGTTTTCTTTAAAGTGATCCAAGCAGCTCCCAGTCATTACTAACAAGGAGGTTAAGCAAGGGCTTAGCCATGTCTGTTCAGTGAGGTACTCTTTGAAATATTTATTCTGGAGATCCCAAACACACTGGCAGAGAGTTTCTCAGTCTGATATGATCTAATGCATCCACCTGTCCAGTCCTGCTCTTTTGTCTGTTTTCATTAAAGCCGTGAGAAAGATTGCTTCTGACAAATGCTCTTCCCTTATACTTTGCCTTTCCTCCTCAACTTCAGCATCTACTTACTTAAGAATACATTTGGCACAATTATTTATTTAAGTCTGAGATTTGGAAGGTGGGTATGTATGGTTACCGGACAGCTAAAGGAACTAAAAATGTACAGGTGTGTGCATGCGTAAGTGTGTATTACGAATAGAGAGATAAAAATCAAAGCCCCAAACTATTTTGGCGAAAATAAAAATATTCATTGTATTTAATATCCATAGGATGAAGGGACAAACCTCTATAAAACAGGTATCAAAAGGGAAGAGGTCCTCATTCTCTATTCCCATCCAACTCTCAACAGGCAAGGCACTAATATAGGACCTAGGTTTAGATGATTGAGTGCTTCCAGAGAGTATAAAATTCAATCTAGAGGAGATTGCACATAGAAATAAATGATGAATTAATTCAAAGTAACTAAAACAGTATTGAGAACCAGATGCAATGTGATACAACATTCAGTGTTTCCAGCTCGACGCTTTCCACTGGTAGTGAGAGCAACATTCAACCTAGACATCTGCCTGTCCACATTTCAGACTCCTGCTCCCATGATTCCATGCATCCCCGATTTTTTTATACATCTTTCCTATTGTGTTTAACAGCATTAGTTTCTTTTATATGCAGGCAAGAGACCAAATTGATACAAATTGAAGCATAAAGCATATTCCCCATCATTAAGTTCAAATACTATAGTTTCCACTACTTATAAAGTAAAGTAAACAGGAATTAAACCCAAAGGCCTTAATCCTCAATCAGTTTTGTGTCCACAGTTGCTGCATTCTGAATTGTTTACCAAGAGAATTAGGCAGTTTATTGAACACCCAAAATCGGAGTTCTTAAATATCAACTCTTAACAGGCTCACACTTTATATTCCAAAGAATTTATAGGACAATCAAATATTGCCTCACACCACAACTACAATATTTAGAAAACTCAGGAAAGAATGTCATTGTCACTAATAAATAATGTTTTCAGACCAAGGCATAGAACAATACAAAAAGATGTTACTTTTTTTTGAGATGGTGTCTCACTCTGTTGCCCAGGCTGGAGTTCAGTGGCGCAACCTCGGCTTACTGCAACCTCTGCCCCACTGAGTTCAAGTGATTCTCCTGCCTCAGCCTCCCGAGTAGCTGGGATTACAGGCACCTGCCAATGCTTCCGGCTAATTTTTGTATTTTTTAGTAGAGACGGGTTTTCACCATCTTACTTAGGCTGGTCTTGAACTCCTGACCTCATGATCCACCCACCTCGGCCTCCCCAAGTGCTGGGATTACAGGCGTGAGCCACTGCTCCCGGCCAAAAGATGTTACTTTTTAAAATTTAGTAGCAGAGACTCAGAGGCATAGGCCTATGGCATAGGCAATAGATAAAGCAAACAGGAAAGTCTAAAAAATATCAGTTTAGCCTCTAGAGTCTATGACAATTTACTAGAGACCATGATCTGGGAAATGTAATACTATTGGGAGTAGCATGTAATCAATATGGAAAGTGTAGAAGATGACTGGATCACATTTAGCAACTTAAGACTCCTGTGAATAGCAATCTTTGCTATTTGATGTGTGTGTGATGTGCGTGTGTGTGTGTGTGTTTGTGTGTAATGTGCAGTGGTAACCTCTGGCATTACTAGTAGCTCCCATATTCTCTAATCAGCATATTTAGGACTTCTAAATTTCCAGAAATCTTAGCCTTTTGTTTCCGTCACTTCAATGCTAAACTGAGTGTGAATTCTATCAGGTGGCATATTCTTTTTTTTCTTTTCTTTTCTTTCTTTCTTTTTTTTTTTTTTTTTTTTTTTTTTTTGTTTTTTTGAGACGGAGTCTCGCTCTGGTCGCCCAGGCTGGAGTGCAGTGGCGTGATCTCGGCTCACTGCAAGCTCCACCTCCCGGGTTCACGCCATTCTCCTGCCTCAGCCTCCCGAGTAGCTGGGACTACAGGCGCCCGCCACCACGCCCGGCTAATTTTTCCTATTTTTAGTTGAGACGAGGTTTCACCGTGTTAGCCAGGATGGTCTTGATTTCCTGACCTCGTAATCCACCCGCCTCGGCCTCCCAAAGTGCTGGGATTACAGGCGTGAGCCACCGCTCCCGGCCCGACATATTCTTTTCTCATGCCATCATGCACAGTAAATTGCATTTGTAGACCAAGTTTCTGTTCACAGAGTGGCTTTGTAACATATCCCAAATCCTGCCTTTTACTCTGTTTTTCTTCTTTGGAGACCCGTGCATTTTTAACTATGCTACAGTATCTTTTGTATTTTTTGAGTGGAGTTTCTCAGGTATGTAATATATTTATGATAGGGAATTTCTCCCTTGATAATCCACATTTGATTCAGCATGAGGCTTATTCTTAGTGCACTCAAAATGAAGCTGCTGTCAAAACTGATGCCTACACAACGTGGGTTCCCAAGAATCTAGTGGGAATCACTGTTTCTGCCAAAAGCTCTTCCCTTCTACTTGGACTTTCCATAGGTTTTTACTATTTCAGGCCTTTAGCAATCTTTGTTAATCCAGAAAGAGTAGAAAGATTTATTTCTGCCTCATATTTTTTTCTGTGGCTGTGGCACACACTTTCTGTATTCCATTTTGATCCATGTTCCTCTGCTCTTTGTAGGCAGGCATAACTAAGTTTAAAAATCTGTATTTTCATTTAAACTAGGCACATTTTCATTCTGCCTTGTTTGTTGGATTAAAATGTAGTACCTGTATTAATCATTCCTTCACATTATTTCCTGGTCTAGAGATTTTCTTTTCTCCTTTTAATTAACAATGTGTATTTCCTATTCTATCGGCTAGGATTTAACCTATTTTTGTCCTCTGTTCTATATGTTAGTGTTTCTCCTACTTCCTATAATTCTGTAATATATTTTATGAGGGGTCTCTGAGGACCATGAAAATAAGTACATCTACATCAGTACTGTGACACCTCATAACTGATGCAATAATGCTAGAAATATTGTACATACATTTTCCTGGTATTGTCATCTTCAATTAGTCTTCCTGTTTTTTTTTCCTGTAATCATTTAGTACATCTGTTTTTAAATGTACTTATTATGGATTGTTATTATGAATTACATATCAAAAGCTTTCAGAGGGTTCTTTTCAATAATTTCCTGGAATCAAGACTGTCTCTAAGAAAATCAATCAAACTATTTTTTCCTTAGAATTATTGCCTCTCTTCTTTCAGATGAGCTCATAACCCAGTAAGAGAAAAACTCCTTTGCTTGCAGTGTCATTTTCTGAACATATAGATTAGCACTGTTGTTTTATGCAAAAATGAAATTACTATTTAATGTATATATTTACATACGCACACAAACACACACACACATACACATACATTTAAATTTCAGAGCAATCAACTTTCCTGTCTAGACTGCTCTTACAGCTTAACATAACTAAAACATTTTTTAAAACTCATTTTCTGTTAGCAATACCTTTATTATCTCATTTGTATGCAGTCAGATCCTTAAGTTATTTATCACTCAGTAAACATAACTTGTATTCTACACTTCTTGTATTTATTTTTTATTGTGTATGAATATGACCCAAAAAAATGTTTGAAGGAAGGTGCAGTGGGGTGGCTCATGCTTGTAATCCCTGTAAATTGAGAGGCTGAAGTGAGAGGATTGCTTGAATCCAGGAGTTTGAGACCAGCTTTGGCAACATAGCAAAACCTTATCTCTCTATAAAAATAAAAACAATAAATAATAATGATAATAATAATGTTCATAAGTTAAGCTTTATGTGAGTTTCCCCTGAGGGGTTATGCATTATTTTTACTGGGTGCCTGAAAACAAGAGCATCCCTGGGTGAGGTTAGGCTAAACTATCTCTCTATGGCTCTAAGGATTACAAGTTATGATAAATTCTGAATTTAGATTTATACAGGAAGGCAGTTTGTGCTAGCAGTTTGTCAAAAGATGAGGAGAATGCTTTTTTTGTTCTTTGTCCACCTAAAGCCAAGGCTGACACAAACAATTCTTTAGCTTCTGTCTTAGTCCATGTGGGCTGTTATAACAAAATACCATAAACTGGGTGGCTTATAAACAACAGAAATGTATTTCTCACAGTTCTGGAGGTCTACTTTTTAGTTTACAGACAGTTCCTGGATTAATTCATTTTCATGCTGCTGATAAAAACGTACCCAAGACTAAGAGAAAAAGATGTTTAGTTGGACTTACACTTTCACATGGCTGGGAAGACCTCAGAAGCATGGCAGGGGGCAAAGGCACTTCTTACATGGTGGCAGCAAGAGAAAAATGAGGAAGAAGCAAAAGCAAAATAAATTTGAGCACCTTTTCATGCCCTTGTTGGCCGGTTGTACTTATTTTTTGGGGAAATATCTATTCAAGTTAAGTTTTTAAATTGGGTCTCTTGTCTTTGTATTACTGAGTTGTTAGAGTTTTTTATATATTCCAGGCACAAGATCCACATTATATCAATGAGTTGCAAATATTTTCTCCAAACTTTCAAATTTCTAAGGACATTTTCACTTAACAAGAAAAAAAAAAAACTGTCAACTTCTTGCTAGTGTCCTTCAAAATATCAAAGCTTTTTTTCTTGTTGTTTATTTCTTTTTT